>NC_000014.9:76429894-76581409 GCF_000001405.40 Homo sapiens
GAATTGGATTCTTCATTATCGCTGGTTCGTAACACTTAACCATTGGCCTACTTGCCCCTTCCTTCCTTCCTTCCTGCCTGCCTTCCTGCCTTCCTGCCTTCCTGTCTGCCTCCCTTCCTTCCTTTCTTCCTTCCCTACCCTCCCTCCCATGTAATAAGTGCCCATGAATCCATATTCAACAGGAAAACTGGAACCTTGACAGTAATTCGCATCTAGCCACATGGTCCTCCCCATCCTACCCTCCTGTTAGGGGCATTCTGCAATCTTTAATACTATTTTAAAGGAAATTTAGTTACAGTATAGTAGTTCTAGGTGCCTGAGGGGCTGATTTGTGACTCATAAAGCCTTGCTGGAGGGTCTGAGGATCTGCTTTAATGGATAGCTCTTGATGGCCCCTGGTTAGCAAATTAATTATTGAAATGTACATAAGAATCTCTCAAGTGTTCAGAAACCATTTTTCTTCTGTGGAGTGGATTCCCATGTCAGTTTTGTTTATCCTCTTAATTTGCCCAGCCAGCTTCTTTCCCTCCTGGTCTATGGCAAGTTCCTTGAAGAATCATCCTCAATTCTAGGTCTGGGGGCCTTGGATGAGGGAAGGGGTTTGCTGGGTTTAACCACAGGCCTGCCCACTGCTGGACTTTCTCAGAAGAATCACAGCCTCAGGCAACATCCACTGAGTGCCTGCTTGTCACCTGCGCTGTTCTAAGCATTGTGCCTTCATTGGCTCTTGCTCAACTCTGTGAAGGAGGTGCTGTGATTGAGCCCATTTTACAGATGAGGACCCTGAGGTCCAGAGAGGATGACCTGATTACTCAAAGCCAGCAGCAATTAGGGATAGAACTGGCACGTCTGCTACCAGCATGCAGGCTTGTAGCCATTAAGTGGCCCAGCTGCTTGTTCCAGTTCTTAAATGCATGGCCCCAGCAGGGATGAGGCTCTGGGGGCCGTCCTTCAGCCTGACCCAGATTCTTGGGTGTGGTGGGTAGATTCTACCCCATAGAGGAAAGCAAGCTGGACGCTTATCAGGCCAGTCCATTCCTCTGCCTGCTGCCCTCTGACCAGCAGCAGGCCACCTAGTGTGGGAAAGATCCTTGAGATTCCAGCGTAAAAAACAGTGAGAGGCCGGGCCTGATGGCTCATGCCTGTAATCCCACATTTTGGAAGGCCGAGGAGGGCAAATTACCCAAGGTCAGGAGTTCGATACCAGCCTACCCAACATGGTGAAACCCGTCTTTACTAAAAATACAAAAATTAGCCAGGCATGGGGGCACACGCCTGTAGTTCCAGCTACTCAGGAGGCTGAGGCAGGAGAATCACTTAAAGCTGAGAGGTGGAGGTTGCAGTGAGCCAGATGGAGCTACTGCACTCCAGCCTGGATGACAGAACAAGACTCCATCTCAAACAAAACAAAAACAAAACAAAACACCGATGATGATCTCTTGTTGATACCCTGAAATCTGTCTTCCTCTAGAAGTCTAAGGCAAAATAGTTCAGCAATTTGAGTTTCATTCAGAACTTTTGAGATTCCCCTGCTCTCTGCATTAGGAAAATCTTCAACCTGCTTTGTAATCCAGCAGAGCAATGTCCAGCCAAGGCAGGAAGAGCCCCCCAGCAAGCTCGGTGTCCCCTGGGGATCAGGCTGCGAAGGGAACAGGGTCCCACGCTGGCTACTGAGAAGGCCCAGGGCAGAGATGAGTTGGGGCACGAGGGAGGCCACGTTTAATCAGATGGGGGTGAAATTGAGGCCAGGGCAGCGCTTGCTAAGCTCCAGTTAGGAGATGAATCAAAGGGAAAATGATGCCCCAAGGGGCTTCGACCACTGACTACTGCCCTTTCAAAGGCTGCTTGGATGGGCGTCTGTTCCCTCCCCATGAAGAGTCAATAGTTATCGATCCAGTGGGGAACTGGGTCCCAGCCAACCACAGATGATGGACTTGACACTCCCCGCTCCTCCCCAGAACACAAGGGTCAGCTGCCTCCTGCCTCATCCTGCAGCAGCTACTCCTCCTAGACACCGGCTTGGCCACCACCCCATGGCCACCTGTGAAATCTGAAGTGCCAGTCTCAGGCCTAGACGCCGTCTCCCAACCTTCCAGCTTTCTTGCTTCTTCCTCCTGCTGGACCTCAGCCTCAGCCTCCCGGAGACCACCATTGCCGCCTCTCCATTTTCTCCCAATCCCGTCCTTTCTGACATCACTCCCTTGTCCACCCTCTTCCCTCATACTTCTAAGTCAGTGGTTCTCAGCAGTTTTGCTCCCAGGGAGACATTTGGCAATGTCTGTAGGTTTTGGCTCACATACTTGGGGGCAGGGTGCTACGGGCATTGAGTGGGTAGAGGCCGGGGGTGCTCCTGAGCATCCAGCAGTGCTGGGACAGCCCCATCACATGGAATCACTCAGCCCCAGATGTTAGTAGTGCCGAGGATGGAAGCCTAGGTCTCAGCTGCTGGAGATGGGGCCCGCTTGCATTGTTGCACCAGCATCATGAGTTAAGAGGCCTGGAGAACCTTTGCGTCCCAGATTTCTGCTCCCACTTTGTCCCACAGTTACTATTGCAAACTTCCCTCCTTCTCCTAGTCCTCCTGCCCTCCGGCCCTTGCCTTCACTCCCTGTCCCTCCTACTTCACAGAGTCACTGCAGGCTGAGTGGAGGTGGTGTGGGTGGGTTTGGGGGGTAAAGAGGGCCTCACTCAATGCCCCCCTCTGCCACCTACAAACTTCTCATCTGTACAGCCAACCTTCCCTCTCACTCTTACTGAATAAGCTATTTCTCTCTCTCTTTTTTTTTTTTTTTTTTTTCTGAGACGGTGTCTCGCCCTGTCACCCAGGCTGGAGTGCAGTGGCACAGTCTCAGCTCACTGCAACCTCCGCCTCCCGGGTTCAAGTGATTCTCCTGCTTCAGCCTCCCAGTAGCTAGGACTACAGGCGCATGCCACCATACCCAGCTAATTTTTGTATTTGTAGTAGAGATGGGTTTTTGCCATGTTGACCAGGCTGGTCTTGAACTCCTGGCCTCAAGTCATCTGCCCACCTTAGCCTCCCAAAGTGCTGAGATTACAGGCATGAGCTACCACACCCGGCTGGATTCCTTGCAAACTCTTACAAGATCCTCTCATGATGGCATCACTTCTTCCAGTAGGACCCCACCCTTAAGAATCACACCCTTAAGAATCAACACCCTTAAGAATCACAGCTGCACCACCAAAACCAAACCAAACCTCCCTGTAGATTTCTTGGGCCCTGCCTGTAGAGACGCTTCTTCAAAATATGACGTCAGTGGGATCAGGTCTAGGAAGCCACCTGTTCACCAAGCCCCTCAGCTGCCTCCGATGAAGATTGAAGTACAGTTTGCAAAAAGCTGACACGTATTTTGTGTCTTCAGCCTTTAAGTGTTGATTTTGCCCTCTACCACTAATATTTAACATCGGGTAGCCATATGATTCATGATCTACTTCAGGGAGAGAAGTGGGGGCGGTGATGGTAATGACACTGGACCAGCAGTAGGACCGAGATTGCTCAGGGCCAACTGGGAGGTATCGATACCTAATTTTTAAATGTCTTAAATTCCTTACATTCTCAACACGCCCCCTTCTCATCAAAGAAGCTGACAATTAGTACTGACAACAGTAACAAAACATTCCTTCCCCACGTCACAGCCTCCAAGTCCAGGAGGGCATGCTTTGTTTACAAGGTAGCTGGTGCTGCCTGAATGTGTTCATGAAGGCACCCCTGCTCCGCCCAGTCCTCTACCCTTCACGGCCAATTTTCCTGAAAGAATTGTCTGCATTCACTACTTTCAGCCATTGCAATGAGGCTTCTGTCCCCATCATGCAGTAACCTGGCTGTGGTGAATGTCCCCAGACACTTCCTGACTGCTAAGTGTAGGGATACTTGCCCCTTCTCACTCTCACTCCACCTGACCTTATAGGATGGAATCTGCTGCCCACCGCCCTTCTAGATGGCTCTGCTCATCCAATTTCCATGACATGCTCTATTTTTTCCTTTTCCCACACCTCTGGTTACATCTTCTCTGTCTTCTTGGACTTCTTTCCCTCTGTCCTGCCTTTACATTTTTTTTTTTTTTTTTTGAGACGGGGTCTCTGTCACCCAGGCTGGAGTGCAGTGGCACAATCTCGGCTCACTGCAGCCTCTGCTTCCTGTGTTCAAGCAATTCGCCTACCTCAGCCTCCCCAGTAGCTGGGATTACAGGCATGTGCCACCATGCCTGGCGTGAGCCACTGCACCTGGCCTGCCTTTAAATTTTTCATTCGAATGAATGAACACATGAGGTCCTGGGGGATAAGGACAGATGGAGGGAGTGGGCAGGTCTCCCAGAGGGTCTGGCCTCTCCAGCAACTTTCTTCCCCCTGCCTGGTGCATCAGGAACCAGGCAGCCCAGAGAGCACTGTGCCTCTCTCCCCCTCTGCTTCCAGAGAGTTCTCTATTCTGACACTTTATAGGTTAAGAAATAACAGCGAAGCTGGGGGTGGTGGCCCATCCTGTAATCCTAGCACTTTGGGAGGTAAAGGCGGGGGATCACTTGAGGTCAGGAATTTAAAACCAGTCTGGCTAGCATAGCGAACCCCTGTCTCTACCAAAAAAAAACAGAATACAAAAATTAGCCAGGCGTGGAGTCACGCGCCTGTAATCCCAGCCTCTCGGGAGGCTGAGGCAAGAAAATCGCTTCAAACCAAGAGGCAGAGGTTGCAGTGAGCCAAGATCGCACACCTGCACTCCAGCCTGGGCGACAGAGCCAGACTCTGTCTCAAAAAAAAAAAAGAAAAGAAAAAAGAAAAAGAAAAAGAGCAGTGACAGGATTCCAGGGTTTGGAACTCTGGGTGGCAGTCAGACATTGTCTGCATTTTGGGGGATTGGAAAGATGAGGTCCCTGCCTGGAGCAGCTCTTGCCCAGGCCTGGTAGCAGAGAGGCAGAGTGCTGTGAAGCAAGGAACGTGGACCTGCAGTCAGGTTCGGACTGCAGCTTCTCCCAGGACTCAAGTGAATGGGATAGGCTCTGAGCTCCGGCCTTTTCCTTCTCCCAGGACTCAAGTGAATGGGACAGGCTCTGAGCTCCAGCCTTTTCCTTCTCCGAGGACTCAAGTGAATGGGACAGGCTCTGAGCTCCAGCCTTTTCCTTCTGTAAGGTGGGGATAGGAGGGCAGAGCGGACAGGCTGTGAGGATTAAATAAGATGGCACGGAAGAAGGTGTCTCACATGCAGCTGGGGCCTGATGGGCAGCCGCTAGTATCGCCCAGCCTCTGAGAGGGGAAGCTGGGCAGCTCCTGAGAGTGAGGAAAACATGCAGAAGAGCCTGGAAGGAATTTCAACCCAGAAAAGAAGCTGTGGCCCTCTGGGGGTCTTCATATAGTGTGAAAATATGAAGAATGAGAGAATGAATGAAGCAAGACCAGAGGCACCGCAGCAGTGCCCCCATCAGCATGGCACCCGCGGGGCCCTTTCTGGCACTCTGTGCACTTGTGTTGGCTTAGTGTCTGTTGTTCCTATGAAAGTATGAGCGTCTTGAGATCGTGAGCTGTGCCTGTCGTGTTCCCATTATCTGGCCAGCACTTGGCACATAGTAGGTGCAAAAAATACACATTGACAGTTCCTAGAAAAGGCATGCTGAGGAGGCCAAAATAATAGTTATGGAAATGAGGCGGGGTGTGGTGGCTCACGCCTGTAATCCCAGCACTTTGGGAGGCCAAGGCAGGCGGATCACCTGAAGTCAGGAGTTCGAGACCAGCCTGGCCAACAGGGTGAAACCCCCATCTCTACTAAAAATACAAAAATTAGTCAGTCGTGGTGGCGGGAGCCTGTAATTCCAGCTTCTCAGGAGGTTGAGGCAGGAGAATCACTTGAACCCAGGAAGCAGAGGTTGCAGTGAGCCGAGATCACGCCATTGCATTCTAGGCTGGGTGACACAGTGAGACTCCGTCTCAAAAACAAAAAACAAAACAAAACAAAAACATGGAAATGAGAAAGCTGGAGGACTAAAATTACTAGATCCTCCTGAGTTGGGACTCAGGCTCTAAATTAATAGCGGGCTTCCTGTACCAACCCTGATAGTTAATAACGGGCTTCCCGCACCAACCCTGATAGAGTTAATAGCGGGTTTCCCTCACCAACCCTGATAGAGGCCAGCATCTTCTTTGCTTCCCTCTCAGCCCTGAGGGTCTTCATCCAGGGCCTGGAGGTGGGGCCCAGACACTGCAGGATGCAGGATGCTTTGCACCCTTCTGAATCAAGGAGGGGAGCGGAAGAGGAAACCAAGGCTTGGGGAGCAAACCGCCGCCTGCTCTGGTGTCCTTCAGGGTTGTCCAGCCATGAGACGGGTGCAGGGAGGCAGTTGGGAAAACTGTGGCCTGCCCTCTCCTGGGAGGGGCTGGGAGCTTTCCATTTACTTTCCTTGGGGCAAATGCCTCTTATCCATCAAGGCACAGATCTGAAACAGGTGACACAGAGTACTTGGTCACTACATCATCGCTGCTGTAATTACTGTTTATGTCAAGTGTATCTCCTGAGATCTCTGGAGCCCTCTGCAGCCTGGGGAAGGTTTGGGCTGAAGACCCCTGGGATCTGGGAGCTGTGTTGCTCAGCAGGGTTTTTCACAGTGCCCTAGGGTCTTCCTGTGAAAAGCAAAACCTAAAGCAGCCATCAGGAAAGCAGGAGGGGATTAAAAGTTAGGATGTGGTCAGCTCTATTCTGCCTGCCTCGTGGAAGGGTGCCTGAGGAGCAAGGTGCGCCCCTGTTGGCTCATCACATGCCCCTGCAGCTGATGGCCTGCCAGGCTGATGGTCTTTCCTGGGGACTCCACTGGTGGTTGGGAAGAAGGTGTGTGGCAGTGCCCAGGGAGATGATCACAGAGATGTAGAAGGGCCTGGAGGAGATTCTCAACCAGGGGACTGGGGCTTATAGGAGAGTGTCTCCGAGGACTCAGGGACATTCCACAGGAAACAGAAGAGACCCAGGAGTCTCTGTCTTCACACACTGCATTTTGGGAGTTGGTGAACTTCTGGAGAGTAGGAGCTTTATGTTATCTTTTATCTTTGTGTCTGTAGCTCCCAGCTTCTGGTCTATGGGAAAGTGAGTTCCTTGACTCCAGCCATAGTCAATGGCAGCCCCTCAGGAGGGGCTAATTAATTAATTAATCAATTTTTGAGACAGAGTCTTGCTCTGTCTCCCGGGCTAGAGTGCAGTAGCCCGATCTCGGCTCACTGCAACTTCTGCCTCTTAAGTTCAAGTGATTCTCGTGCTTCAGCCTCCCGAGTAGCTGGGACTACAGGCCGGCGCCACCATGCCCGGATAATTTTTGTATTTTTTGTAGAGACGGGCTTTCACCATGTTGGCCAGGCTGGTCTTGAACTCCTGACCTCACGTGATCCACCCACCTCAGCCTCCCAAAGTTCTGGGATTACAGGCATGAGCCACCACGCCCAGCCAGGAGGGCTTAATTTGTATTAATCATTAATGAGACCAGGGACAGTGGAGGCCTCTCCCAATCATAAGGTTGCACAGACACATTTTGTGGCATTGCTATTTGGCCATGGGTTGCAAGATGCAAGTGGGCTCTGTGGGTGTGATAAGAGGGAGAGACAGACCCTCCCTGCCACCCAAGAGTCGTCTTTCCATTGGCAGGCTGTCCTATGACCTCCCTATCCTTTGCTCCTCTGCAAGATCTTTCCCTTTTTCCTTTCACCTGCTCCAGGCATAAGCATGAGCCTCCTCTCTACCTCCATAGGGGGAGGCTCAGGGAGTGAGGCAGCCTGTCAAGGACAGGGACAGATCAACACCACCCAGGCCACCCTCAGACCCAATCCTGGCTGGAATGTGACCCACAGCTGGGTTTCCCTGAACACACACCTTAATCTCCCAGGTGTGAGCTCAGCTGTCTTTCTTGTCCATGTTGAGAGAAGAACAAGTCCTCTCCCTTCATCCTGGGAGCTGGGATACGGGAGGGGAACACCCTTGCCCGCCTTCTCCTCCACCAGCATGGCCGGGGTGGAGGGGCTTGGTTTACAGGAAACATTCTGTTATCCCACACAGTGATCTTGCCATACTGGTAATTCACCTGGACTTTGTGGGTGGGTGGGGAGGCTCAGTGGGTAGAAATAGCTGGGGGATGCTCAGGGTTGGGGTTAGAATGCTCCCTCAAGCTTTCCAGTGGAGACATGTCTCTTGGGGGACAGGCAGGCTGGGTAGAAGCTGGCTACTCGGGGTCTAGGAAGGGAAATGAGAGAGGGAGGGTTTGGGAGCCACCTTCCAGACATGCCTTCTGGTACCAAGCCTGGACCAGTGGCAAAACCCAAAGGGCAGCCAATCTGGCTGGTACCTTTGCCACAGGATTCCTTCTTGAATCAGCCAAATAACCTGTTGCCTCTGGTTCCGATCTTAGTGAAGGTAGGGGTCCCAGGGAAGCTCCAAGCCAGGTCACTGTACTTAGTCTCTGGGCCAAAGCTGTACTGCCAAGACTGTTACATTGTAGCCATTGGCTGGGTGCAGTGGCTCACACCTGTAATCCCAACAGTTTGGGAGGCCGAGGCGGGTGGATCACCTAAGGTCAGGAGATTGAGACCAGACTGGTCAATATGGTGAAATCCTATGTCTCTATTAAAAATACAAAAATTAGCTGTGCATGACGGCGGGTGCCTGTAATCCCAGCTACTTCGGAGGCTGAGGCAGGAGAATCGCTTGAACCCAGGAGGTGGAGGTTGCAGTAAGCCGAGATTGGGCCATTGCACTCCAGCCTAGGCGACGGAGCGAGACTCCATCTCAAAAAAAAAAAAAAACTTGTAGCCTTTGTGTATTATTGTTATGCAGGAAGGTTGGCCAAACATTTTGGCTGACTAGTTTCCATCTTGTGTCACCCTCAAACTAGAAATTTGCAAAGCACTAGGGTGCCTAATCTGAAGATTTTTTGTTTGTTTTTGAGATAAGGTGTTGCTCTACCACCCATGCTGGAACGTAGGGGTGCGATCATAGCTCACTACAGCCTTAAACTCCTGGGCTCAAGCAATCCTCCCTCCTCAGCTCCTGAGTAGCTGGGACTACAGGCATACACCATCATGCCAGGCTAATTTTTTTTTTTTTTAACAGATGGGGTCTCCCTATGTTGCCCAGGCTGGTCTCAAACTCCTGGCTTCAAGCGATGATCCTCCCCGCTCAGCCTCTCAAAGTGCTGGGATTTACAGGTGTGAGCCACCACACCTGGTCCGCTGAAGTTTATTGATCAAAATAAAGTTTCTTTGAGGCCTCCGAAGGTTTTGGAGGTAATGCCAGAAACTTGCTCCCGGCTGCGCCGAGGGGAGACCAGCTGACCTTCTCCACCGTTGTTTTATCGCACCAAAGCCTTAGCATAGAGCCCTTCCCAGCCACCCTACCTGCGGGGCTGGACCCGCCCACCACACCCACAGCACCTTGCTGGGGCTGACTTCCCGATTTGTGTCCACAGGCTGCTGAACAGGATGTCCTCGGACGACAGGCACCTGGGCTCCAGCTGCGGCTCCTTCATCAAGACTGAGCCGTCCAGCCCGTCCTCGGGCATCGATGCCCTCAGCCACCACAGCCCCAGTGGCTCGTCCGACGCCAGCGGCGGCTTTGGCCTGGCCCTGGGCACCCACGCCAACGGTCTGGACTCGCCACCCATGTTTGCAGGCGCCGGGCTGGGAGGCACCCCATGCCGCAAGAGCTACGAGGACTGTGCCAGCGGCATCATGGAGGACTCGGCCATCAAGTGCGAGTACATGCTCAACGCCATCCCCAAGCGCCTGTGCCTCGTGTGCGGGGACATTGCCTCTGGCTACCACTACGGCGTGGCCTCCTGCGAGGCTTGCAAGGCCTTCTTCAAGAGGACTATCCAAGGTGCGTGGTGGGCCTCAAGGAGCCTGGGCGCAGGGTTGGGGGTGGCAGCCGTGCCTGCGGGTCTGGCAGAAGCCCTAGGAATTCCCAGAGACTGCCAATTCTGGGCGCTGTTGGAGCGGTACTTCTGTGGGGCGCCTTTTCCCTTGCTCAGGGCTTCTCATTCTGGCACTGGACAGCTGCAAGACTGTTGTTGAGATGACACGCGTTCCCCACCCCCTCAGCTCCCCCATGCACAGCCCCAGAAAACCAAAAGAAAATCCACAGGAATGCCAAACCCTGGGTGCTTCTCACTGGTATGGAGTACACTGTCAAATGTGTGTCCCTCAAAAAGTTTATTTTGTGCGGGGGAAAAATATAATTTGCCCTGCAATTCCAGACTTACGGGACATAGAAAGCGTCCCTCACCTTGTTTTTGTCTTACTTATACAAGTAAAACGCCAGATGTGGTGACTCATGCCTGTAATCCCAGCACTTTGGGAGGCCAAGGCCAGAGGATAGGTCAAGCCAGGAGTTGAGACCAGCCTGGACAACACAGTAAGACCCCATCATTATTATTATTATTTTTAAATTAATGCATGGTGGCACACACCTCTAGTCCCAGCTACTTGGGATGCTGAGGCTGCAGTGACCTGTGATGGCACCACTGCCTTCCAGCCTGGAAGACAGAGCAAGACCCTGTCTCAAAATAATAATAATAATATATGAGTATTTTCTCACTGTAGAAGACTCAGACCTGTTGGAATCAGGACAGGAGCTCATCCTGTCTGGATCCCAGTTTAACCTATTTTTAAGACCGACCTTCCTTCATTCCTTCCTTCCTTCCTTTCTTCCTCCCTTCCTCTCTCTCTCTCTCAACCCATCCTGTCTGGATCCCAGTTTGACCTATCTTTTAAGACCTGTATTTTCTTTCCTTCCTTCCTTCCTTCCTTCCTTTCTCTCTCTCACTCTCTTTCTTTTTCTTTCTCTCTCTCTTTCTCTCTCTCTCTCTCTTTCGATGAGAGTCTCGGGCCAGGCACACTGGCTTAAGTCTGTAATCCCAGCACTTTGGGAGGCCAAGGTGGGCCTTGAGGTCAGGAGTTCAAGACTAGCCTGGCCAACATGGTGAAACCCCCGTCTCTACTAAAAATACCAAACAAACAAACAAAAAATCAGCCGGGTGTAGTGTCAAATGCCTGTAATCTCAGCTACTAGGGAGGCTGAGACAGGAGAATCGCTTGAACCCGGGAGGTGGAGGTTGCAGTGAGCCAAGATTGGGCCGCTGCACTCAGGCCTGGGCGACAGAGTGAGACTCCATCTCAAAAAGAGAGAGAGATAAGGGTCTTGCTATGTTGCCCAGGCTGGAGTGCAGTGGCTATTCATAGGCACAATTATTGCACACTGCAGCCTTGAACTCCTGGGCTCAAGCCATCCTACCATCTCAGCTTCTCAAGTAGCTAGAACGACAGTCGCTGCCACCACACCCATAAGCTTTTTATCAATACATTTGCATATCACCTGAGTCACATTCCAATGGCCATGGTGGTGGCACCCTCTTTCTGTGGGTACTAGAGTCAATCACTCTGACAAAAGGCGTGCAAGAACCCTGGTGGGTCGCTCTGTAAAGTCACCACGAGGTGAATTGGGGAGAATAAATTGGGGAGAATGGTGGGCCTGCCCCCACAGGGCTGTTATCAAATTCATGGCAGAGAGAGACCACTGGGACCACTGGTGCACATCACCACACCCAGTTAATTTTATTTTTAATAGAGATGGAGTCTCACCATGTAGCCCAGGCTGGTCTCGAACACCTGGGCTCAAATGATCCACTTGGGCCCACTTTGGCCTCCCAAAGTGCTGGGATTACAGGCCTGAGCCACCGTGCCTCGCCGATAGCTGTGACTGTTAATTGCGTCAGGCCCTGGGTAGAGCACTTTCATTCAGTTAGTCAAGTATCTGTTGAGCACCTACAAAGCACCAAGCCAGGCTGTAGGTGCTGGTGATAGGATAGACAAAATCTCTACTCATGCAGGTCACTGCGATGAGCTGGTGCCATCCAACTGGCACAGAAACTGCAGACCAGACAGGAGAACACCCAGGAACCACCCATCCTGCCCCTGCATCAGATCCCTTTCCAGGGCCCTGCCTCACTGTCCCCAGAATGTACCTACCCCATTCATTTCCCTTTTAGAAGAGGCAGGCTAAGCTTCCCCGGGATGATTCTGTTTATTCAACAAATATTTATGTGTTTAAGTTTCTTCAGATGGCAATCTATTTATGAAACCAATTGAAGACATTAAGATTGGATATATTTCCACTTCCACATATGAGTTGAGATGGTGTGGTGCATTGGCTAACCATCAGGGCTCCTGGTCAGAGAGTTCCATCGTCCCCTTATAGCTGCACCTTGGACATGCTCCCTGTTTCTCTCTGTGCTTCAGTTACTTCATCTAAAAAGTGAGATATCAGCTGGGCGTGGTGGCTCACGCCTGTAATCCCAGCATTTCAGGAAGCCGAGGAGGGTGGATTGCCTGAGCTCAGGAGTTGGAGACCAGCCTGGCCAACATGGTGAAACCCTGTCTCTACTAAAAATACAAGAATTATCCAGGCATGGTGGCAGGTGCCTGTAATCCCAGCTGCTTGGGAGGCTGAGGCAGGAGAATCCCTTAAACCCAGGAGGCAGAGGGTGCAGTGAGCCGAGATGGCACCACTGCATTCCAGCCTGGGCAACAGAGCAAGATCCCGTCTCAAAAAAAAATAATAAAACTTTAAAAAATAAAAATAAAAAGTGAGATATTGTTCCTACCTTATAGAGCTGTTAAGAAGCTTACGTGAGTTAATATATATAAAGCACTTAGAATATTGCCTAGCACCTAGTAAGTGCCAAACAAATGTTTGTAATTATTATTTTAACTTTAACAATGTGATTTAAGACATATTATTATGAAAACAACGGACACATTTATCTTATAGAATAAGCTTTTGTAATCTACATATATTTAAATAAAACAATAATTGTTTTGATCTAACAGGACTCAGATTATTTTAGCTATTTTAGTTATAAATTTCTTTTTTCTTTTCTTTTTTTTCTTTTTTTTTTTTTTTTGAGACAGAGTCTCACTCTGTCACCCAGGCTGGAGTGCAGTGGCATGATCTTGGCTCACCGCAACCTCCACCTCCTGGGTTCAAGTGATTCTCCTGCCTCAGCCTCCCAAGTAGCTGGGATTACAGGTGCTGGCCACAACACCTGGCTAATTTTTTGTATTTTTAGTAGAGATGTGGTTTCACCATGTTGGCTAGGCTGGTCTCAAACTCCTGACCTCAAGTGATCCACCCGCCTCAGCCTCCCAAAGTGCTGGGATTACAGGCATGAGCCACCGCGCCCGGTCATAAAGTGATTTATTTCTTAAATGAGCCCTTTTAAAAAAATAAACATGATAAAAAAAATTCTAGCAGTGCAAAACAGTAGAGCACGTTTTCCTGAAACCCCAGACCTCAGTTTTCTTAACTATCCCAGAAGGACCCCTTTACCATCTTTGTCAAGCAAATATTTTTTGAGCATCGTCTTTATCAGGCACTGTGCTGGCCTCCAGGACATAAAAATGAATGCACCCTGGTCTCTGCCCGCTTTATACACCCTGAGTCTGAGTCTGGGGGAAGGCCCTGGGATCTCTGTATTTGAAAAGCACTGCATGGTGATGCTGTCTCTTGCCTCAGCCAAGAATGAGAACCTCCAGTATGATGGTTTTTACACAAATCATCAGATATTTGACAAACACAAAATGTTTAAGTCAACTGAAGTTACCAAGATAACAACATTTTTCTTTCTAAATTGGAAGGTTGTCTTGGAGAGGTTGCCATTATTTTAGACTCTTTGAGGTCAGTTTTTGAAGAATTGCTTGTTAGAAGACAGTCACATTTTCTTCTCACCATGTTGTTCTTAGATGGGCTGGAGAGTTTTGAATCACATTTTTTGAAAGCAGAGGTTAATGTGTGTAAACTCAGAAATCCTACTGCATGCTTGACAGAGGCCCAGGTGTCTGCGAATGTTCTCAGCAAGTCAGGAGTCCACATGAAAGATTCGTAAATAGTCTTAATTATTTGCTACCGCGAATAGGATAATGATCTCTTCGTAGAAGTCAAAAGACAAACAGCAGCATTTGTGCAGTTGGAACTGAACTGCTGCAGCCTCTTCTCTTTCCACAAGGAGAGTTTCAAGTTCGTAACCAGAAAGAGGTTTATATTCAGGACAGGGAAAAGTAAACTCAAGGCTGACAGATTGCTGTGGTTATTTTATTAACTCTTTGGTTTTGTTCTAACAAAGATTTAGGTTTTGTTGTTGTTTTTTTTTTTGAGACAGAGTCTCGCTCTGTTGCCCAGGCTGGAGTGCAGTGATCTCACTGCAACCTCCACCTCCCAGCTCAGCTTCCCAAGAAGCTGGGATTACAAGCCTGTGCCACCACACCCGACTAATTTTTGTATTTTTAGTAGAGACGGGGTTTCGTCATGTTGGCCAGGCTGGTCTCGAATTCCTGACCTCAAGTGATCCTCCCACCTTGGCCTCCCAAAGTGCTGGGATTATAGGCGTGAGCCACCATACCCAGCCAGATTTTGTTGTTTCTAAACGTAGCAACTGTAGAACATCTGGAAAACTAGGAAAAGTACAGACAGGAGAAAAATGACCTAGAATTGGACAACCACAGAGACAAACTCAGAACTCAGTGAGCATTCTTTGAGTCCCTCTCTGAGTAAGGTGCAGAGGGGGAGCAGGAGAGAAAGGGACGTGGTTCTTTCCCTAAGAAGCTGGAATCTGTTGTGGGTTTTTTTTTGTTTTGTTTTTGTAGAGATGAGGCCTTGCTATGTTGCCCAGGCTGGTCCCAAACTCCTGGCCTCAAGCAATTCTCTTGCCTCAGCCTCTCAGAGTGCTTAGGATTAGAGGGAGGAGCCACTGCGCCTGGCCCAGGTAGCTGCAATCTACTGCTTAGTGCCCATGAGTCTACAGGCGTAGCACTGTGCTCCAAACCAGGACATAGTCTCCTAAGCACCTAATATTCAGGTCATTTTTTTTAAGTTCTATTGTGTGGACAGAGGGCTTAAGTCATGGAATGAGCCATTCACGAGTGCCTGTAAATGCTTGGAAAGCTCTGAAAATTGGGCCAGGTGTGGTGGCTCCTGCCTGTAATGGTAGCACTTTGGGAGGCTGAGGCAGGAGGATCCCTTGAAGCCAGGAGTTCCAGCCCAGCCCAGCTTGTGTAACAAAGCGAGACCCTCATCTCTACAATAAATTTTTTAAAAATTAGCTGGGTATGGTGGCTCGTGCCTGTAATCCCTGCTTCTTGGGAGGCTGAAGTGGGAGGATTGCTTGAGCCCAGGAGTTTGGAGGCTGCAGTGAGCTATGATCCTGCCACTATACTCCAGCCTGGGCAACAGAGCTGGAGTTTCTTTAAAAAAAAAAAAAAGCGGCCGGGTGCGATGGCTCACACCTGTAATCCCAGCACTTTGGGAGGCCAAGGCAGGTGGATTACCTAAGATCAGGTGTTCAGGACCAGCCTGGCCAACAGGATCAAACCCCGTCTCTACTAAAAAATACAAAAATTAGCTGGGTGTGGTGGCGCATGCCTGTAATCCCAGCTACTCGAGAGGCTGAGACAGGAGAATTGCTTGAACCCGGGAGGCAGAGGTTGCAGTGAGATCTTGCCATTGCACTCCAGCCTGGGCAACAAAAGCAAAACTCCGTCTCAAAAAAAAAAAAAAAAAAAGAAAGAAAGAAAGAAAGAAAAGAAAAGCTCTGAAAATCATGTTAATCGTGTTACCTCACACCCTGCCTCTTCCTTAGATCACTTCCTTCTGCGCAATCCAATGGTTGTACTAATATGGGAAGAAATTTTGCAGAAACAAAGATGTCATGATAGATTTAGGGAGAAAGACTAAGACCGAGTCATTCCTTCTCCACCAATCTTTTTTTTTTTTTTTTTTGAGACAGAGTCTCGCTCTGTCACCCAGGCTGGAGTTCAGTGGAGCGATCCTGGCTCACTTCAACCTCGGCCTCCCAGGCTTAAGCAATTCTCCTGCCACAGCCTCCCAAGATAGCTGGGATTACAGGCGTGTACCACCACACCCGGCTAATTTTTGTATTTTCAGTAGAGACAGGGTTTCACCATGTTGGCCAGGCTGGTCTCCAACTCTTGATCTCAAGTGATCCACCCACCTCAGCCTCCCAAAGTGTTGGAATTACAGGCGTGAGCCACTGCGTCCAATCCACCAATCTTTATTGAGCCCTCACTATGTGCTTGGCTGGTAGTACAATGGCGGGGGAGGGAAGAGGGGGAAGATGGGCAAACTACGGCCTGTAAGCCAGCCACCCTTGGTTGTATAAATCAAGTTTTGTTGGAATACAGCCACACCTATTTGTTTGTATATTGTCTATGGCTGCTTGAGCGTTACAACAGCAGAGCTGAGTAGTTGCAATAGTGACGGCCTGATCCACAAAACCTGAAACACTCCTCTGCACTACATTGAACTAGGCAGATTCAGTCTCCTGGCTCTCAGAGACCTATAATCAACTCCTAGTAGTGCATGTTAGTGTTTATTCCAACCCTGCCCAATTCTATGCTATGAAAGGGAGGTTTTTTTCTGTTGTTCGTTTTTTTTTTTTGTTTTGTTTTTGTTTTTGTCGCTGGGGGCTGTGATGACACTCACTGAGAATAGATGAGCTCATAGACAGATGAAGGCACCTTCCTGAAGGAACAGAATGGCTCCAAGTCAGAAGAGATAGACCTCAACCTGATTGCATTTACTCGCATATCTAAAGAAAAAAAAATGCCAATTAACAAGGATTGGCTAGCCCTGGAGGCATAGAAAAAACAGACATACTTAGGCAAAGCCACCACTCCTAGGAAAAGGGAGTCTTAGCCTAGGGACAGCCTGATGTGATTAAACATTCCGTTTATCTGATTAATATCTTTCTGGTTAGGATCTAGTTCCCCTGCAGGTCTTCTGCAAGGAGTGAATTTGCAGGTCAGGCAGACAGATCAATTTCTCCTTGTATGTGTGCTCTCTTTGCATGGCATCCCTGAGCTTATACATCAGGTTCCTGAATTTAGGCAAGAGGAGTGCCTCTGAGAGATGGAGCCACTTTCTGTGGCTGGAAAAGTCAGCTGCTTCTGGGACTTAGGGCTGAGTGACACTGACTCCACCGTAATGAAAACCTTTGTAATAACCTTGACCCTGTCACCCTGTGTCTCTCTCAGCAATGACTCTGCCTCCTGTTTTATTGAGAAACTAGAACTCCCTCAGCTTCCTGCCGCCAAACCGATGCACTCTCTTCCATGTTCGCAGCTGCTTCCGTTCACTGATTCCGCAGCTATTTCTTGCAACTCACTCACTGCTGGAAGAGATGTCTCCTACCCCAGGCTCAGCTCTTCTCTGGCTTTGAATCCTACCTCCTTCCCTCCTCCTGAGACCCTCTCGGCTATTACCTCCTCTCCTTTGTCTTCCCTTGCTCATTTTCTAAAGTCTCCTTCCTTCCTTCCTTCCTTCCTTCCTTCCTTCCTTCCTTCCTTCCTTCCTTCCTTCTTTCCATTAACATTCAACTATCTCTAGTATCTCCAATCTTGTAAAATATATATCTCCTCTACCTTCAGCTTCCTGGTTCTTCCTCTCTTCCTCCTCTCAGTTCTTGACCCAGCTTCTGCGCCCAGCATCTTCCTTCTCATATCCATGGCTTCAGTTGTCTCTGAAATCAGGATGAATGCTAATTCCATAGGTCTTGCTGTCATCCTCTTCCCCAAGCTCCATTCCTTTCACACCTAATGAACATTTCCACTTGGATGCCCCAGAAGCACCCCAGTTGCACGAAGTCTTAAACAGAAGCGGTTTTCCTTCCATCACCATTTCTCCTTGTGTTCCCAATACAGTGCCTGCATCAGCCCTCCATGTTCAAGCCAGACACCTGGGTCTTACCTTTAACTCTGCTTCCTGTCCCAGCGCCCACCCCCCTACCACCCCGAACTAACATCCCAGTGGCCAAGTCTTGTTCATTCTCCCTCCTTCAGATCACTTGACCCAGCAGCTTGTCTTCCTTCCCCTGCTTCAGCTCAGGCCACCGCTGACTCCCACCGCTTCCTACCTGTTCTCCCTGCTGCCAGGCTCGGCCGTTCCCAGCCTGAACACACATCTGACCATGTCTCCCTTCTTTCTTGTGGGGAGAATCAAAGCTCCAGAACATGGCCAAGGACGCCCTCTGGGATTGCCCCACGTCTCATGCCACTCTCTTTTGCATGCTGTGGTCACCCTGATTGCTCTGTTTTCTAGTTACCAGATTTTATTCCATGCTTTCAATTTCTAGACTTTGCATATACTCTTCTCTCTGTTGCACCTACTCCCAACCTCTACTCCCAGCTTGTGTCCCTTAGGTCTCCAGTTAGTAGGCATTTCCTCCAGGAAGGCTTCTCTGATTCTCTCCTCTCATTCCTCCTGGATGCCCTGCAAAGGTTCGCCCATCACGCCACCCTTCTCCCACTGTATGGTTATTGCCATTTTTTTTGTCTGATACCCCAAGAAGAGTACAAGCTCCTAAGGCACAGGGTTACATTTACTTACCTTTTTTTTTTTTTTTTTGAGACCGAGTCTCCCTCTTGTTGCCCAGGCTGGAGTGCAGTGACGCAATCTCGGCTCACTGCAACCTCCGCCTCCCAGGTCCAAGTGATTCTTCTGCCTCAACCTCCCAAATAGCTGGGATTACAGGCACGCACCACCATGCCTGGCTAATTTTGTATTTTTTTTTTTTTAGTAGAGACGGGGTTTCACCATGTTGGCCAGACTGCTCTCGAACTCCTGGTCTCAAATGATCTGCCAGCCTCGTCCTCCCAAAGTGCTGGGATTACAGACGTGAGCCACCGCGCCCAGCCCACATTTACTTCGATTTTCACTTAACCCCATGTCCTCTCACAGTACCTGGCATGTAGAAGGTTCTCAGTGTGTCCAAATGCAATGCAATCCCCAAACAAAGTGATCTCCCATTTCCCAGGGAGGACAAACTGAAGAAGTTGGGCCAGTTTGCATATGTGTAAACTTTAAGGGATCTAGGTAAAATAGTCAGATGTCTGCTTATAACAATATATTATTTAGTTACGCTTGTATATTTTAAATTACCTTATGGAAAACAATATATTATTTTTGAAAAGTTGTTTTTCTACACATATTTTGTGAAGGAAGTCTTATCAAATGAATCTTTGATACAAATGTCTTTGTTTTCCTTCTCTAGAGTTTTTTGAGTCATTTAACAGTGTTTCAGTGTGCTGCCTTCATTTCCATCAGTTAATTGAAATTTTATGAGAATGTATGCGCTGCTATCCCTAAAGTTTTTTTATTTTAAGCCATAAGTATACGTCCTACACCATAAGGGGAGTTCTTTTTTTATTTGTGTTGACTTATGATCAGGATATCCACAATGTATCAGGTACATACTGCTTTTGACACCCAACACTTGTAAGATTATTTTCCTGGGAATAACTAAATTTGTGTTAAATTTCTTTACTCCCAGGCCAGGCATGGTGGCTCATGCCTGTAATTCCAGCACTTTGGGAGGCCGAGGCGGGTGGATCACTTGAGGCCAGGAGTTGAAGACCAGCTGGCCAACATGGCGAAACCCCATCTCTACTAAAAACACAAAACTTAGCTTGGCATGGTGGCACATGCCTGTAATCCCAGCTACTTGGGAGGCTGAGGTACAAGAATTGTTTGAACCCGGGAGGCGGAAGTTGCAGTGAGCCAAGATCACACACTGCACTCCAGCCTGGGTGACGGAGCAAGACTCAGTCTCAAAAAAAAAAAGAAAAAAAAGTTTGTTTTTATTTACTCCCTTTGTAGTGATTCACTCAGGCAAGGAGCATTGATTGCGGTCTTCTTAGGACCATGTGTCTTCCCAAATTTTAGATTGTTGTTCAGTACAAAGTGATTGACTTAATAGCACCTCTGATGTGAGAACTTGTAAAGACTCAAATCATAAGCAATTTTCTCTCTTTTTTTCTTTCCTTTTTTTTTTTTTTTTTGGTCCTTGGGACAGGGTCTTGCTCTGTTGCCCAGGCTCAGTGCAGAGACATGATCATGGCTTACTGTAGCCTCAAACTCCTGGGCTTCTGCCTCAGCCTTCTGAGGAGCTGGAATTACAGGCATGCACCACCATGCCCGGCTAATTTATTTTTTAAAAAAATTGTAAAGCGGAGTCTCTCTATGTTGCCTACACTGGTCTTGAATTCCTGGGCTCAAGCATTCCTATGGCCCCCACCCTAGTGGGCTTGCATTGTAGGGGGAAAGCTGACAATAAATATGATAAATAATGAAGCATGGTGACAGACTGAGACAGGTGTTATGAAGGAGAAAAAACAATGATGAGACCAGAGAGTGACTGAGAAAGGGGGGGGGTCTCATTTAGAAGGAGGATTAGGGAAGGTTGTGCTAATAAGGTGACTTTTAAAGGAAGCTGAAGCTCATCAAGGAATCCTGGGACCAGCGTTCCAGGCAGAGGAAAAAGCCAGTGTGTTTCAGGACAGCAGGAGGGCCAACATGGCTAGTGTCAGTGAGCAAAGGCAAAGTGGAAGGGGCTGGAGAGGATGGGCAAAGTCTAGGGGCCATGGTGAGGGGTGCACTTGGATTTTTTTCCAGGTAGAGTAGCAGCCGTTGACTAACATGTGATACATGGCCATGAGGGGCTGTACGGTTAGGTAAAGCCAGTCTGCACTCCTCCTTGAGTTCCCAGGGTAGATGGCCAACTTTGCACAGGCCACTGGGAGTCTTTTGAGCAATTCCTGGGTCTCTAACTTAAAACAAGAAGGAACAAGTAAGAAAGAGGCCTGGCACAGTGCTTCCTCCATTCACCTGGGGCCCAGATGCAGGCTTGGAAGAAAACTCCCCTAGGAGAGGGGAAGGGGGATGATTGATGGGTTATTCCACCTTGGGTCGCCTCCAGGTCTTTTGTCCTGGAGAATGCAGCTGGCGGATCTGGATCCTGGATCCCGGGAGGCACAAGACAGGGGTGCAGAGACAAGAGCAGGAGAGGGCAGGAGTCAGGAGCTAGGTGCTGGTCCCGGCCCAGTCACTAGCCAACTGGCTGACCTTGGGCAAGCAAGGACTGAGTTCCTCTGGCCTCAGTTTCCTCATCTCTACAAGAAGAGTCCATTAAACCCACAAAATGTTAGCTATCTGTAGGGCACTGGCAAATGACAGAACAAATCACAATTCCTCTTTTTGGAGACACAGCCAGGATGCCAGTCAGAATGTGGTCAGCCTGTGACTTAGGTGACACATAGAGTCCAGAGAAGGTTTATACCTTCTGGAGGGCAGGGAGGGCTTCCTGGAAGAAGGGACACTTTCTCAGAAGTGGAAGGTAAACATGCTTGGCAGCAAGAGAGGAGGGGGCTCAGTGGTGGATGATGGGCTGGGAAAACAGCATGGCACTGGAGTGCACCAGGCTTCACAGGTCATGGTAAGGAACAGTTAAGTAAGGAGTCATATTTAAGATTTGAGGGCTATTTAACCAGGCTTAGAATCTCAGCTTCACGATTTCTTAGTTGTATCACCTTGGGCAAGTGACTTAGTTTTCCTGAGCCTTAATGTCCGTATCAGTAAAATGTTAATAGTTCCTGCCCCTACAGTGTTATTGCAAAAATGAAATGAGACATGCATGTGAGGGTGTAACTAAGTGCCTGGCACATGAAATAAATAGTATTTGTTTTGTTAGTTGTGCTTGGCAATGGGAAGTCATTGAAGGCTTCTGAGCAGGGAATTAATCAGATCTCCTTTCAGCAAGATAATTCAGGCAACAATAGGAACGATGATGTGGAAGCAGGAGAGGCTAGGGGCTGGGAGCCCAGTGAGGAAGCAATTTTATTTTATTTTTATTTTATTTATTTATTTTTGAGACAGAGTCTTGCTATGTTGCCCAGGCTGGAGTGCAGTGGTGCAATCTCGGTTCACTGCAGATTCTCCTGGGTTCAAGCGATTCTTCTGCCTCAGCCTGCCCAGCAGCTGGGATTACAGGTGTGGGCCACCATGCCCAGCTAATTTTTTTTTTTTTTTTTTTTTTTAGTAAAGACAGGGTTTCACTGTGTTGGCCAGGCTGATCTTGAACTCCTGACCTCGTGACCCTCCTGCCTTGGCCTCCTAAAGTGCCAAAGTGCAGGGATTACAGGCGTCTGCCACTGCGCCCAGCAGGAAGCAATTTTTTTTTTTCCCCCAAGATGGAGTCTCACTCTGTCACCCAGGCTGGAGTGCAATGTCATGGTCTTGGGTCACTGCAACCTCCGCCTGGGTTCAAGTGATTCTCCTGCCTCAGCCTCCCGAGTAGCTGGGACTACAGGTGCATGCCACCACACCTGGCTAATTTTTGTATTTTAAGTAGAAAGGGGGTTTCACTCTGTTGGCCAGGCTGGTCTTAAATTCCTGACCTCATGAGCCACCTGCCTTGGCCTCCCGAAGTGCTGGGATTACAGGTGTGAGCCATTACATCCGGCCACAGGAAGCAATTTTAACAGTGCAGTTAGGGCCGTCCAAACCAAGATCAGGGCAAAAGGGCTAGAAGGAGAAGTTAGGCTTGAGGAACTTTCAAAAGTGGATTCAGGCTGGGCACAGTAGCTCACACTTGTAATCCCAGCACTATGGGAGGCAGAGGCGGGTAGATTACTTGAGGTCAGGAGTTTGAGACCAGCCTGACCAACATGATGAAACCCCGTCTATACTAAAAATACAAAAATTAGCCAGGCGTGGTGGCTATAATCCCAGCTACTTGGGAGGCTGAGGCTGGAGAATCGCTGGAACCTGGGAGGCAGAGGTTGTAGTGAGCCGAGATCAGGCCATTGCACTCCAGCCTGGGCAACAGAGTGAGACTCTGTCTCCAAAAAAAAAAACAAAACAAAAACAAAACAAAACAAAAAAAAAGGTGGATTCATTATTAAAAGGATAGTGACTGGATTGTGGATGCTAAGGGAAGGAGGACTCTTAGATTTCTAATTTAGGCTACTAGGGAGATGGCAAGGCCATTAGGGGGAAAACATAAATACCCAGAAGGAACAATTTCGTCAGCTGGGAGAGTCAGGGTGGGAAGGAGCATGAGATAATGGATAAAGTTTTGGACATATTGAGTTTGATCAGTTCACAGAGACCCTGGAGAGTTTGGAATTACAGCCCAGAAGCAAAATCTTGAGTGGGGTTTTAAGTCTAAGGAGAGCCTCTAAGACTGTGGTTCTCAAAGTGTGGCCCTCAGGCCAGCAGCAAAGGCTACACCTGGGAGCTTGTTAGAAATGCAAATTTTGGGCCCCACCCCAGACCTACTGAATCTGAGACTGGGGGGCAAGGCCCAGCAATCTGATTTAGCCTTTCAGGTGAGCTTCATTCAAGCTCAAATTTGAGAACTGGTGTTCGAGAGAAAGCTCTTTAGAAGGAGAAGGGTTGAGGGACCCTGCGGAACAGAAGGAGCATAGGAGGGGCCTTGAAAGGAGATTGAGGAGTGCCATATTTCATCAGTTCTAAGATGCACATTTTCTCCAAGTAACATCTCTGAATTGGGCTGCCTGTCACAGTTACCATTGACCAGGTGACAGCCGTTCCCTGGTTGTCACTGCACTCAAACGCACCTCAAAAGTTGCAGAGTAGGGGCCAGTGGCCTGAGACAACAGTGAACACTTTCTTAACAAAGCCCTTGATAGTAGAGAGGATGACTCTGTGAAAAAAACATGAAAACAATGACTGATCAAAAATGATTCAGAAGAGTTTGAGATGTTTTAGCAATATTTTAACCAATCTGTTTTTCTCGTATTTTCTCTTATGTATGTGTAAGAAGGCTACGGGATCAAATCAAATCTGAAAAAAAGCTCTTTTTTTTTTTTTTTTTTGAGACTGGGTCTCGCTCTGTCACCCAGGCTGAAGTGCAGTGGCACAATCTCTGCTCACTGCCGCCTCAGCCTCCCTTCAACCTCCCTGGGCTCAAGTGATCCTCCCACCTTGAGCCTCCAAAGTAGCTGGTACCACAGGGGCATGCCACCACACTCGGCTAATTTTTTGTATTTTTGGTAGAGATGGGGTTTCACCATGTTGTCCAGGCTGGTCTTGAACACCTGGGCTCAAGTGATCCACTGGCCGTGGCCTCCCAAAGTGCCTGGATTACAGGTGTGAGCCTAATCGGTGGATTCTTTTTTCTTTCTTGACTGATGGGTAAAATAATGGTACATCTTACCACTGAAAGCATCTTAGTTCATTACAAACCAGGCGACTAAAAAAACAAAAGAAAGCAAGTACTCCAGAGTTGATTAAATACACATAGAAATAGTCAGAGATGTTGCAAGAGTCCCTGCAGAGAGAAGGGAGATGAAATCTAACAAAATAGCCTGTTTTAAGAGGGTGGCAATGGGTGTCTGCTGCTTCAGGAAGGACCAGGAGGAGAAAGACCAAGAGGAGACAATTGCATTTGGTAGCTGAAAGGTCACTGTTGTGGAATTCTAGGATTCTCTGGGTGGGGGCTCTTGCTTTCAATTCGTTTGCATTCATTATCTATTCAACAGATATTAATCGATTTCCAGGATTGAGATACTGTACTTGAGATACAGAAATGAAAAACATAATAATCTCCATTCCCAAAAAGCACACAGTTCAGAAGGGAGGCCCACAGGTACACCTGTGATTATGAAACACTAAGGTAGCTGCTTTGAGTGTGGGGATGGGGTGGTGGCGAGAAACATGCGAGCCTATCTGGGGCAGAAGGGAAGAAAGTGTCACCAAGGAGGCCATGTGAGAGCTGTGGCTCCAAGGATGTGGAGGAGCTGGCCAGGAGGACCAAATGAGGAGTTTCAGGTAGAGGGAGGTATGGGAGGGCCGGGGGCTCCATGAGATCCATGAACTATTATACTTACTGACAGTTCAGATCTGCTGGAGCCTACAAACTGGAGGCCTCAGTGAGAGGGGATTAGGGTGGACAATTTGGAAATGGTCAGATCATAAAAGGCCTGGTAGGCTTTGCCCTGGAGTTTAGATTTTGTTCTCTGCTCTGGGTGGCAAGAGTTGGAGAATTTCTTAAATTTATACTTTAAATTTATTTCTAATTCTTTTCAAAATAAGGTATACAAATAGTTTAAAGAGTATAAAAGAAACATAACTTTTAGGCCAGGCACAGTGGCTCATGCCTATAATCCCAGCAATTTGGGAGGCCAAGGCAGGCAGATCACCAGGAGTTCAAGACCAGCCTGGCCAACATGGTGAGGAGTTTGAGACCAGCCTGGCCAACACGGTGAGGAGTTTGAGACCAGCCTGGCCAACATGGTGAAACCCCGTCTCTACTAAAAATACAAAAATTAGCCAGGTGTGGTGGCGGGTGCCTGTAATCCCAGCTACTTGGGAGGCTGAGGCAGGAGAATTGCTTGAACCTGGGAGGCGGAGGCTGCAGTGAGCCAAGATTATGCCACTGTCCTCCAGCCTGGGCGACAGAGCAAGACTTTGTCTCAAAAAAAATATATATATATGTTTTATAATGAAGGATCACAGTCACTGGCCCTACCCATTCTCCTCCCACTCTAATTCAGAGTTAACCATTTAAAAAAAACTCTCTTCTATCATTTAGTAATATTGTGATCTTATAGCTATATTTGCTGACAGCAAGTTTTACCTTCTTTCTTGACTTGCTGTTATGGAAGATGAGTTAGCTCCAATTACACAACCCATCCCAACACACACACACGATCATCCCGCTGTCCCAATATGGTAATATCACAAAATTTTCTATTTTGCCTGTTGCCATTTCCTTCTTGACATGTCCTTGACTTTTCTCATGGGTTGTATTCCCTGTTTTCTGGATCCTACCTCTTCCTCTTTTTAGTTCTTTCCTTCTTTGGGAAAGCATGTAGTTCATGGGCGTCCTTAAAAGGTATAGGAGAGGTAAAATCGGCAATACCTTGTATATGTGGAAATGCCTCTATTCCATCCTCCAACCTTCACATTAGATTCATGTCTTGGCTTGGTACAGAATTCTAGTTGAAAATAATTATTCTCAGCTGGGTGCAGTGGTTCATGCCTGGAATCCCAGCACTTTGGGAAGCTGAGGCGGGTGGATCACCTGAAGTCAGGAGTTCGAGACCAGCCTGACCAACCTGGAGAACTCCTGTCTCTACTAAAAATACAAAAATTAGCTGGGCTTGGTGGTGCACGCCTGTAATCCCAGCTACTCAGGAGGCTGAGTAGGAGAATCGCTTGAACCCGTGAGGCGGAGGTTGCAGTGAGCCAAGATCACACCACTGCACTCCAGCCTGGGCAACAAGAGCGAAACTCGCACACACACACACACACACACACACACACACACACACACAAAAGAAAGAAAAGAAAAGAATTGTCCATCAGGATTTGGACACCATTGCTGCTTTGTCTTGTAGCTCCTGCTGCTGCTATATCTTGAGTCTTCAATGCCTGACACTTTCTGAGGTTCTGCAGTGTGGCTAGCTTATTTCTTATCTGGATCCCTTGCTTTAGCTACCTAGGTTTCTACTTTCCTCATTCTCTGAGACAGTTCCCACTCCCATCCTGCCAGTTATTGGATTTTTGGGATGACGCATAGACAGGTGTGCTCCATGTGCCATGATGGGCCAGAGAACCCATAAACTTGTCTGGGAAAGTTATTAACTGACCTCCAGGGGGCAGTGTGGAGGATAGATTGGAAAGGGAAATGGAGACAGGCTAGTGCAGGACCATGGTCGCAAGGGGTGATGAGTGTGGAACTAGGACTGTTGCAGAAGGGAGGGAGGGAGCAGGTATCAGGAAGTAGGATGAAAAGGATCTTAGGGGTAGATATGGAAAAATCCAGGAGGCCCCTTCATTTCTGACAGGTTGCAGGTGGCTAGTCGTCCCTTTGATGAGACAAGGGATACAGTAAGAGGAACAGGCTGGATGAGGATGGGTTCAGTTTGAGAAAGGTGAGGGCCCAGGGGACCTCCAGGTAGACACATCAGCAGGCAGATAGCTATAAGGGCATGAGCACTGGCTGCAGATCATTGCCAATTTCGTGATAGTGGAAGCCAGTGGCATGAATGAGATCATCCAGCTCATGGGTGAGGGGGAGGATCGGGAGAGCAGAGGGCCCTGGGCAACGCAGAGATGAAAGGGATGGTCCCTGTCTCCAGAGGTGTGTAAATAAGGGAGTGGAACTGAGTGACCATCACCCCAGCCCTTTCACACCAGCTGAATAGAGTGGTACCATTTGAGCTCTGTCATTAGCCAGCAGCCTCTGAGCCCACAGGTCCCCGAGAGCTATTTGTCCGAGCTTAGCAACCCCCTTCCTGAGCCTGTGGCAGGGCTGCCCTGCTCTCTGCAGCTGTTCATGAACAGCTGATGGGGATGACCCTGGGATTTCCTTCTCTCCGGGAAGCACAGGATCAAAGAGAGCTGATGGTGGTGGTTACCCCTCTGCCTTAAGGTCACGGAGAAGTCCAGGTCAGGTTCTACCAGTGCCTGCCTCCTTCCCACAGGCACCGGCAGCATCCACTCTGAGGTCTAGGGACCGGAGGCAGACCTTAATGTTCTCAAATATCACAGTTGGTGGCTAGCCTCGGATCCAACACCTAGAAAAGACTTATCCTGGAATCCTTTGGTTGTATCTACCCTGTAAGACAATCTTGTCCAACCTGTGGCCCAGGATGGCTTTGAATGCGGCCCAACACAAATTCATAAACTTTCTTGTAGCAGGATGAGTTTTTTTTTTTTTTTCTCATCAGTTATCGTTAGTATATTTTATGCATGGCCCAAGACAATTCTTCTTCAATGTGGCCCAGGGAAGCCAAAAGATTGGACACTCCTACTGTAAGATCTGCCTGAATATAAAAATAAGCAGAGCAGCCGTGGTGGCCTGTTTGCCAGTGCCTGCACTTCACTAAGACCTTTGTATGCTTTCTGTCACTGAATCTAGGGAACTTTTATTTTTTATGTATTTATTTTTGAGACGGAATCTTGCTCTGTCACCCAGGCTGGAGTGCAGTGGCATGATCTCTGCAACCTCTGCCTTCTGGGTTTAAGCGATTCTCCTGCCTCAGCCTTCCGAATAGCTAAGATTACAGATGCCCACCACCATGCCTGGCTAATTTTTTTATATTGTTGGTAGAGACGGGGTTTCACCATGTTGGCCACACTGGTCTCAAACTCCTGACCTCAAGTGATCCTACTGCCTCGGCCACCCAAAGTGATGGGATTAGAAGTGTGAGCCACTGCGCCTGGCCTGAATCTGGGGAACTTTTAGATAAGAACTTTATGAGATGGGGGCTGTACCCATTTTACAGATTAGGAAACTGAGGCTCAGAGAAGTTAGGTGATGTGCCCAAAGTGGAGTCTGCACCTGTCTATACTGAATACACTCCCAGGTTAGAACCTGGAATTTATGCTAACCATTGGCCATGTCCCTGTCCTGAGAGAACTCATCCCCAAAACTGCCACACCTCAGCTGCACGTGTGTGTGCTGCCAATGTCCTATCCCTGTTCCTACACGCTCCTAGGCCCGCCTCAAGAGACCACAGGAATTCTGATGAATTAATCTCATCACTTTATCGAGGAGGCACTTAAAAAAATTACAAAGCAAGGCCGCCAGCCTGGCTTTGCTGGCAGCTAGCCGCTGGGGCCATAAAATAAATTGAAAGGAACCAAAATAAACAAATAATTAGGTCTCTCTCTCTGACACACACACACACACACACACACACACACACACACACACACACAAACACACACACATGCATGCAGGCCAACCCCTAAAGGGTGAAGAGCCTGGTTGGGGACTTGCTGTTAGCACTTGGTCCTCTTGTCCTGGGAGAGCACCAGTTCCAGCTCTGCACACACACTTCCTGACTCCTTGCTCTGAGCAGCAGCCTGTGGCCTTATCCTTCCTCAAAAAGTGACAGGTTGGCTGAGCAGCTGAGAGCAAAGCATGGGAAAAGTGAAGAGTGTGCAAAGGGTGTCCCAGGCAGCTGGAGGTGTGAAGCCCATGGAGAGCCCTGTGAGCTCCTGGCACAGTGGCTCAGAGCAGGCTGGAGCTGACGGGCTGGGTCCCAGTCCTTACTGTCCCATACCCTGGATTCTGTTCACCCTCTCCTTTTTTTTTTTTTTTTTTTTTTGAGACAGAGTCTCGCTCTGTCACCCAGGCTGGAGTGCAGTGGCGCGATCTCGGCTCACTGCTCCCTCTGGCTCCTGGGTTCAAGCAATCCTTCTGCCTCAGCCTCCCGACTAGCTGGGACTACAGGTGTGCACCACCACACCTGGCTAAGTTTTGTATTTTTAGTAGAGACAGGGTTTCACCATGTTGGCCAGGCTGGTCTTGAACTCCTGACCTCAGATGATCTGACTGCCTGGGCCTCCCAAAGTGCTGGGATTACAGGCGTGAGCCACCACACCCAGCCCCTCTATCTTACAGATGAGAAAAATCTGTTTACCTCCGGGGTTGCTGGGAACATGAAATCCTTGGGATCTGTAAAGCAGAGCTGTGGCTGCTCCCTGACAAGCATTCGCCAGTGTGAGCTCCCCGTGTGTGCGCATTGAGCGGCTGGGTGTCCCAGGCAGTGGGACTAGAGAGGAGCTGGAGTAGGTGGAGGAGGCAGACAGATACAACACAGGGGACATTAATGGGTTATCAGCAGGGAGAAGGAGCGCCTCCCCATGTGGGACCTGGAGAAACAGAGGGTGGAGGGAGCATAGAGAGTCTGTTCTAAGCTGCAAAGCAAAGGCCTGGCGACCTAGGAGACCATGGAGTTCCAGAAAGTGATAGTTATGCAGAGCGAATGGAGGGAATCAGCACGCTGAGGCTGCAGAGAGAGGGTGGGCCTGGGTGGGAACGGGCCAAATCCTCCAGCGCCTTCTAAGCCAAGATAAAAGCTTGAATGAATTAGCTTTCATATGTGTTTTTCTCCTTTCTGTTTGTCTTTTGAATTTTACCGGGCTTACATGAATATTGAAATTATTCCCCAAGAAACCACCCAAGCCAGAATGCTCTAAGAAATAGGGCTAGACAAAAGCAGGTAGGGGTACACAGAATCTTCATCCCTTCCCCTTCCCATCGCCTTCCATCCTCCAGCACAGAGCATGACCTCCAGCTCCCTCCCTGCAAGAAATGGGATGGGGAGAAAGGTGGTGCCTGCTGGACTTGAGACAGGGAGAGAGAGGGAGAGGGGGAGAGAGGGAGATGGGGAGAGAGGGAGGGAGGATAGCTAGCCTTCACCTGTAGATCTCTGAGGTGCTCCGGAAATAGTTTTCTTCACCAGTAAAAAGGGATGAGAATACTCTCTGAGCCTTTGTGAGTACTCAATACAGTTAGGCACATTGAGTAATTTTGCTACCTCAAAGCACTTTGTTAATGGTAGAACATGGTTCATGCTTGTTTCCAGAAAATCCAATAGAAAAGGTTTCCATCCATATCCCATGTGGGGAGGTGGTGACACAGGGAAGCCCAAGGCCACCCTTCTCCCCTACTACCCACCAGGCGACCTCAGCCGCTGGGTCAGCACCAGGCACCTGTCCTCAGTGGGGCAGCACTTCCAATTTCCCCATCCTCCTTGTGAGATACAGGGTGGGACAGGAGATCTGTGTGGCCTTGGGTAACCTGCTTCAGCTCCCAGAGCCTCAGTTTCTTGGTCTATGAAATGGGACACTGATGTGCCTTCAGAGGCTGTTGTGAGGACTGAGGGAGCTGTGCAGACTATGCACACAGTAGGTGCACAATAAATCTTAGCTGCTATTCCTCTGAAGTGGGTAGGGTTTGGTGTGGAGGATTCAGATAGGCAAGCCTCCAGCTCCTCCCTGCTCCCTCAGGAGGTGGGGCTGGAACGAGAGATGTGTTCTAGTTGAGAGATTCTGTTCTGGAAAACCCTGGCTCAGGCTGACCTCAAGCACTTTGGGACAGGAGTCGAAGAGACACAATACCAAAACAGTACTGTGATGTGCTGTTCTTCATTTGTACGTTCCAGTTACATTTTTTTTTGAGACGGAGTTTTGCTCTTGTCACCCAGGCTGGAGTGCAATGGCGCAATCTCGGCTCACTGCAACCTCCGCCTCATGGGTTCAAGTGATTCTCCTGCCTCAGCCTTCCGAGTAGCTGTGATTATAGGTGCCCACCCCTATGCCCAACTAATTTTTTTTTGTATTTTTAGTAGAGACAGGGTTTCACCGTATTGGCCAGGCTGGTCTCGAACTCCATACCTCAGGTGATCCACCTACCTCTGCCTCCCAAAGTGCTGGATTACAGGCATGAGCCACTGCGCCCGGCCACTCCAATTGCATTTCTTTACCTCCCCCACCTGCTCTCCCCCCATCGTCTTTCCCTCCATTACCAGGCACATTGTAGGTGCTCAATGCGTATTCGTTAATAAGAGTCAGCAGGTCAGATGCCTGTATTAGAAAGGCAGTCACAGCCTCTCCTGACTGGACTGTCAACCCTCCCAGGAAGAGCGCTGGAAGGTCAGTTCAACCTAAATAAGACCTCTGTGTTCACACTGCATAGAAACACTTGGAAAACTCATCTGTAAAATGGGAATAGTATTAGTACTTATTTTCTCTTTCATGGAATTGCTATTGGGAGGGGAGGGACTCTGTAGATCAGTCATTCACTGCATTCTACCTGCCTGTCTCTATATTGCGGGGGCTGTGCTAAGTGCTGCTGGACACTGGGGAGCAGCCCAAGGTCTTGGCTTCGTGGGGCCTACAGCTTAAAAGAGCATGGGTTGGGTTTATGGTAGCCATTCTTTTGTTTTGTTTTGTTTTGTTTTGTTTTGTTTTGTTTTGTTTTGTTTGAGACAGAGTCTCGGTCTGTCACCCATGCTGGAGTGAAGTGGCGTGATCTCGGCTCACTGCAACCTCTACCTCCCGGGTTCAAGCAATTCTCCTATCTCAGCCTCCCGAGTAGCTGGGATTACAGGCACATGCCACCACACCTGGCTAATTTTTTTGTATTTTTAGTAGAGACGGCATTTCACCATATTGGTCAGGCTGGTCTCGAACTCCTGACCTCAGGTGATCCACCAACCTCGGCTTCCCAAAGTGCTGGGATTACAGGCATGAGCCACTGTACCCGGCCTGGTAGCCATTCTTATAACCCATGAAAGGAGTGGCCTGAAAAATTTATCACAGATTCCCTCCGCTGAATGAACTCTGCTCATAAAATGACCCCCTCGCATTGAATAGTGTTTAAAGCAGTTGTCCATATGTGGTCTTGGTTAATTCTTCATTTAGTAGATTATCTCACTGTTTTGAAGATGAAGAAATTTCAACTTGGTCAGAGGAAAGTATATCCTCAAGGTTAGCAAAGCCAGGTGGCCTGGGCCCCTCCAGTGGGATGCAGAACCCGGGCCTTGATCCTGGTGGACGCAGAGTTTCCAGGAGGCTTTTCCCACATGTTGGGGTCCCAGGCTGGAGGCTGGAGGAGCCTGTGGTGGTGGTGGTGGTGGTGGTGGTAGTGGTGGTCTGCACTAATGTTCTGGTCAGCATAGGGGGCGTTCTCCTCCTGGAGTAAAAGGCCAGCTTAGTGAGTTTTGATGTCCCTGCCCAGAAGTGGCTTCAACACTGTGGGTGGCCATCCTCTGGAGAGTGTTTCCCCAAGTAGCTGCCTGGTCCACCCAGACCTGCCACCTGGAGTCTCCATATGGAAGAGTTCAAAATGTTCTGACAAGCACCTCAGAGCACCTGCTTTGAGAACACTAGGGGGGAGTGGCAGCTCTGGCAAATTAAAATCCCCATCCAGCCAGCCCTGCGCTGGCAGGTGGGGGCCCTGGGCGGCCAGCACCCGGCAACCCTCTCTGTGTCTGGTTGCAGGGAACATTGAGTACAGCTGCCCGGCCACCAACGAGTGCGAGATCACCAAACGGAGGCGCAAGTCCTGCCAGGCCTGCCGCTTCATGAAATGCCTCAAAGTGGGGATGCTGAAGGAAGGTAAGAGACCCCACCGAGTCGGGGTTCACTGTGAGGCTCTGCTTGCTGGGGAGTTTTTGTCCCCTGTGAGACACCCACAAGCTGTGGACCTGTGTCCCAGGGTGAGACCCAGTCTGAGCGCCCATCTCCTCCCACACCCTGCCAGCCTGCCACGGCGCCCGCATGGCTCTCCTCCTTTAGGGAGGTGGGAATTGGAATTTCTTCATTAAGGATCCTTCCGAACCCCTGACCCCACTTGGGCCCCAGTGGGCCTGGCACTCTGGGAAGGCCCTCCTTTAGGGGCAAATCCCACGTCTACCCTAGGAGGGGTAGGCTTAAGAGGCTGTTATATCACCTAGCACCCTCAAGGGCTTGGGGGTGAAAAGGACAGACACATTAAGTCCGGGAATGATAAATAATGTTCCCTTCACCTGTGAAGAATGGCATTTGTTTTCTGGTGGGTGGACAGGACATGGCTCTTGCCTTGGGAATGCTGCTCCCTTCCTTGTTCCCTCTCTTCCCATCCTCTCCCTTCCCTCTCCTTTCTCTCCCTGCGTCCTCTGTCTCTAGAGCTGTGCTGTCTAATATGGCAACCACCAGCCACACGTGGCTCCCGAGTGCTGGTCCAAACAGAGGTGTGCTGAGTGTACAACACATGCCTGCTTTAGAGGACTTAATAGGACCATAAAAGGCAGTGTAAAGTCTGGTGGTGATCCTTTTAAAAATGTGATTGCATGCAGAAAGGCTAATCTTCTGGACATGTTAAATAAAACATATTGTGAAATTAGCATCACATGCTTCTTTGTTTTTTTTTTTTTTTTTTGGAGACGGAGTCTTGCTCTGTCACCCAGGCTGGAGTGCAGTGGCGCAATCTCGGCTCACTGCAAGCTCTGCCTCCTGGGTTCACGCCATTCTCATGCCTCAGCCTCCCGAGTAGCTGGGACTACAGGCGCCCGCCACCTCGCCCGGCTAATTTTTTTGTATTTTTAGTAGAGACGGGGTTTCACGGTGTTAGCCAGGATGGTCTCGATTTCCTGACCTCGTGATCTGCCCGTCTCAGCCTCCCAAAGTGCTGGGATTACAGGTGTAAGCCACCGCACCCGGCCTCTTTTTATCTATTCGTTAATGTGACTACTAGAAAATTTGAAATGACACGTAGCTCTCATTGGGACAACTGCTCCAGGTCTCCTCTTCCTCACTTTCTCTACTGATTTGCTCCTTTTTTTATATTAAAATATTATTGATAGAGGCAAGGTCTTGCCATGTTGCTCAGGTTGGTCTCCAACTCCTGGGCTCAGGCAGTCCTCCCACCTCAGCCTCCTAAAGTGCTGGGATTACAGGCATGAGCCACTATGCCCAGCCGATGTTTTCAGTTTGAGGAACCTTGTTCAGTACCATTTTGGGGATGGGTCGTGAGTGTATGTGTTTCCCTGCTTCTCCAGCTTCCAAGGGGAGCCAGTGAAAATTCTTAGAGATCAACTTTTAAGCTCCGGGCCTGGAATCCTTCTAGAAGTGGGAGGAAACAGGAAAAGAGGTGTGTGGGGGTGATCAGAAGGGGCTACAGAGAGAACGAAGGGACAGGTTTGGAATCCAGACCCTTCCTGGAGGGGGAAGGCTAGGAGTGGGCTTCTGGAAGCCCAGCCCAGCCTTGGGAGCCCCAGGGCACTCCTGCTACCCCCTCTCCCAGGGCCCTCTGAAGATAAGGGCCCAGACCTAAGACGCTTTGTCAATACAACTTGGACCATCATGTGCTATAGAAATTGGACCTTCCACTTCCGTTTACCATTTCCAGGTCCCCCACTTCACCTCAGCTCAGCCCAGCACCTGTATCCATAAAACAGAAGCTCTTGAAGCAGGCCCTCGGCGGCCTTTGTGTCGACATGGCACACTGGCTTTTAAAATGCTCCTCATTCGGGGCTTCATTTAACCCCTTTGTGATGGAGTGGACCACTCAGCTCTTAGACAGGCCAGCTGCTTCGTTAGGGGCTCAACCGAAAAAACAGTCTCCTTTCCAGATTAAAAATGGGCTACATCGAGCCCGCAGAAAGGCTGTCTGTTGGTTCATTTTTGACTCTATATAATTTTGGTCTTGCTCCTGGATAGGATGACCCAAACTAGTGGCTGAACTGGGTCCCCTGACTCCTATGTTGGGCCCTTTCTGCTCCTTCAGAGCCTCCTGGTATTCACAGATGGGAAAATTGAGGCAAAAGGCCCATAGAAGCATGCCTGAGTGCTGGTCTCTTGACTTTCTCTCCGTGTGGTGCTGGGAATCTGAGGGTTTCTAAGCTTTGGAGACTCATTCATTCCTCTTAAGCCCAAGAGACAGAGCTGCTTGACCTGTTGTTCTCACATACAGAGCTGGATGTGAGAACAGCAGGTCAAGCAGGGGGCCAGGGGCCACTTGGTCACAGCGTGCAGCCTCCCTGCCTACTTGACAGTATCCGCGGCACTTAGAGCAGCCAGAAGCCTCATTGTTTTCAATATAGCCCTGAATTTTACAGGTGACAAAATGGAGCCCTACAGGGGCTGGGGTGAGATGACTCCTACCCTCAGTCACACATTCATCTGAGGGGAGCTGGGCCCAGAGGCTGGAACTTTCCTTGCCCTGTTCAGTGCCTGCTCCCCATGGCACAGCACAGGGATGGGGGAGGTCGAGAGGGAACCTCCCACTCAATTCCTGGACCATCTTGTAACACTGAGCAGAGTCTCTTTAGGGGCTATGCAGTGCTGGGAAGAGAGAAGGGCACTTTCTAGTGGCTTCCCAGAAAGCAGGAGATGGTGAAGGGGTGCACTGATGGCAGGGAGGGAGGTGGTGAGGCCCACAATTGACCGGTGGCCACTCAGACATCCAGACTGGCACTTGTCAGAGAAACGAGGTGGACACTGTGTGTCCCAGGATGATGGTATCGGGGGTGCTGGGAGGACAGGGGCATGAGACCCCTGCTGCCTCAAGTGGGGAGGATGTTCAGGGGAAGCCTCAGTGTTGACACCCCTGCCCCGCTGCAAATATAGCCCTTTGGTTGATGGTCTTTACCCAGGGTGGCAGCTGGGGCCTCCCAGGCAGACATGCTCGGCTCGAAAAGGCCCTTTAAGGAGTTCTGCCTGAAGGAGGAAGGGACAGCCACTAGAACGCTCCCTCCCCCACTCCCCGCCAGTGCTGGCAGGTCCAGATCCAAGAGCGGGGAGATGACACAAAGGCTCCTGAGTACGGACAAAGCAGGGAGCCACGTTTAGTTTCTGTCCCCTGCAGGGCCTTGGAGAGATCCTGGGATCTGAAGCTCCGTGGGGACCGACCCCCTTGGGAGGAGCATCCTCCTTCAACAGCCTGGGCCCCTGCCAGGTGGGGGCTCTTGGCAGCTGCCTGGCTTGGCTTTTGTTTGGGTGTCCCTCCTGGCTCTGCAGGCAAGGCCCAGGCCCCCCAAGACCAGCGTGGGCTCATCGCCCACCTCAGACTCTGACGGGACTCTAAAAGGCAAACTTCACCTTCCCCAGGGCTGCTCTCCGCTTTAGGGTCCCATAGTGGGCCTCTGTTGCTTGGGGGGCTTTGGGGGTCCAGGGGCTTGGGGAGGGCTGCAGACGGAGAGATGTGGGTGCCTCCGCCCTCTCTGCTCCCCTCGCCTGCACGTCTGAACACCACCCTCCCGCCCTCATCCAGCCACATTCTCCTTGTGTTTTATGATTTTTCCTTTCTTAGGTAAAATAATCAGAGATCGTTTCCCAGTTTGGGGGCCCAGCAACAGCCACAGAAGAAATCAGACTTGGGGCTTCCTCTGGCTCTCCCTCTCTCTTAAGACTGTGGCCAGCTCAGGGATCTAAGCTTTTCAGATTCCTCACGTGGCTGGGGACAGATCCTATGGCCACGTCCCTGTGACTTTCTCCCTGGAACATCCAGAGCAGACCATGGAAAACAGGAGCTGTCCAAAGGCCTATCTTGCTTTAAGCAAATCTAGTACATAAAAATCTGTATTTTCAGAGAAAAGGTAATTTTTCTCTTTTAAAAACTGAACACAAAATCTGGGTTAGGAGTTGATGGCCTGTGTTCTGCCCCTGGTTATTAGGTATTTTTGCCCGTGTAATTTTTTTTTTTTCTTTTGAGAAAGACAAAAAAAAGCCTCACTCTGTCGCCAGGCTGGAGTGCAGTGGCGCGATCTAGGCTCACCACACCCTCCACCTCCCGGGTTCAAGCAATTCTCCTGCTTCAGTCTCCTGGGTAGCTGAGACTACAAGTGTGCAACACCACGCCCAGCTAATTTTTGTATTTTTAGTAGAGATGGGGTTTCACCATGTTGGCCAGGATGGTCTCAGTCTCAACCTTGTGATCTGCCCGCCTCAGCCTCCCAAAGTGCTGGGATTACAGGCGTGAGCCACTGCCCCCAGCTGCTGTTTAATATTATTACTCACGCCCACCTGCTTCCATTTCTTCACTGTAAAACGGGGATGTTGATACCTGCTTTCCTTCACCAGGTCAAAGTGGGGACCTGGGACAGATGGGACAGCTCCTCTTGGCAGAATCCACTATGGGATTGCTTTGCAATGTCAGCTCCCTTGATGCGTTAAAATACTCCAGTGTTGGATTCAGGCTGGGTGCGGTGGCTCATGCCTGTAATCCCAGCACTTGGGGAGGCCAAGGTGGGCAGATCACCTGAGGTCAGGAGTTCGAGACCAGCCTGGCCAACATGGTAAAATGCCTTCTCTACTAAAAATACAAAAATTAGCTGGGCGTGGTGGCACGCGCATGTAATCCCAGCTACTCTGGAAACTGAGGCAGGAGCATTGCTTGAACCCAGGAGGCAGAGGTTGCAGTGAGCTGAGATTGTGTCACTGCATTCCAGCCTGGGCGACAGTGCAAGCCTCTGTCTCAAAAAAAAAAAAAAAAAAAAAATTCTAGTGTTTGATTCAAAGACAACCTCATTTACACTCAGCTTTTCATCAGTCTGCCCCTTGTGTTTGGGGAGGCAGACTGGTGTCTGGCCACCCTGATTTTCTTCCTAGATTTGTTGGTGGGAATCTTAAAAGACGGCCTTGTCTTGGGCTGGTCCCCACTGTGGGTTCTAGAATCAGGATGGGCAGCTCCCCTGGTAGTCAGCCTTTGCAGCCTGGCTAGGGTGTGGACTGACTCTGGAAAACCACTAGCTGCATTTCCTAAGGGGCTCCCCGAGGCCTCAGTACAGCTCTGGGATATCAGCAATTCTCTCTAGACAGCCTGTCCCCGCCAACTTCACCTCCTCCTCACCTCACCTCCCTCACGCGACCGGCCTCCCAAGCCCGCTCCATTTCTCCCCCACTCAGCCCCTGCCTGCCTTTCCCCAAGTGTTTTCTAAAAGATATTTGATTTCAGTGAAAGCTGGGCCGACATCCATGCAATATGCTCTCACTTGCTTTGTGCTTGTTGGGAAGGTGGAGGGCTCCTCCGGGGATTCTGGGTAATTGTGTTAGTGGCCAGCTCATGTCAGGAAATTAAAAGGAGGCCCTGATCAGGTTCCCACTGCATGGGATTTAATGGCCTTGTATTTATAGAGTATTCTGCCTCTAGCCCATGCCAGAAATATCACTTTTTTTCTGGCCCTGTGAATGAAGAAAGAGCAAGAGAGATGACTTGCCTTTAAAAATTCTTTTTCTTTTCCAAAATATATTAGTGTTTTGAAACAAACCAACTCTTTACCACTTTATAGAATGGTATTGAGCTACAGCCTGAGAATGCCAATGTGTGTTGCATCCCTTTCGAGCCACTTTACATTCTACACACACTGCCCCCCCCCCAACACCACCACCCCCCAAACACGCACACACACACATACCTGACAGCTCACAGGATCTTCCCAGGCACCCTGAAGCCTTTGGGCCACTCAGCCACAATGACCTCTGGTTGGAGAAGTGTTGATTGAATGAAGACGAAGGAGATGATCTTGTCTGTGCTAAATCGTTCTTACTGTTCCCTGCAGGCTTTTGGATAACGGTACGGTGGTCACGTAGGCCTGGTTAAACCTCATCTTCACCACTTATCGACTCCTTGGGCCAGTTACTTAAACCCCTGTAAGCCTCCCTTTCCTCCTCCATAAAATGGGAATCATAATAGTGCCTATCTTCATCTTGCTCCCAATCTTCAGGGAAAGCTCCTAGAGTTATACTGTGAAGTCTGATTGTTGATTGGAGATAGATATTCTTCATGTACAAAATGGATATTCTTCTGTGATCCAGAGGCAATTTTGAATCTCCTGTAGCCTCACTCCCTACTCTTGTAATCTTGCTTCACATTTTCATGAAAAAATAGAAAGTCAAATGGGACACATCTTACCCTCCTACCATTGAATCCACAAACCTACCAGTTTGTGCACCTGTTTTCTGCCTTCTTCTTGGTAGAATAGAGGTATTCCCAATCCTGACAAACGCTGGTCCCCCTCCTGCCCTTCTGTGCTCTGAATCGCTCTCTTCTTTACCAAGGACTTCATTCCTTTATTTATTTTTTTTTCTGAGATGGAGTCTCGCTCTGTTGCCCTGGCTGGACTGCAGTGGTGCCATCTCTGTTCACTGCAACCTCTGCCTCCCAGGTTCAAGCGATTCTCCTGCCTCAACTTCCCAAGTAGCTGAGATTATAGGCATGCGCCACCATGCCCAGCTAAGTTTTTGTATTTTTAGTAGAGACAGGGTTTCACCATGTTGGTCAGGCTGTTCGTGAACTCCTGACCTCAAATGATCTGCCCGCCTCAGCCTCCCCAAGTGCTGGGATTGCAGGAGTGAGCTACCATGCCCAACCCCTTACCAAGGACTTCATTCCTATAGTATCTTCTCTGCTTCCAGCATCATCGAATTCTCTCTCACTACTGGATCATTTCATTAGCACACAAGTACACTTCTGTTCTCCCATTATGAAGACAAAATTAAATTTATTTTTTAACTTTTAAAAAATGTTAAAAAAATTTTTTTTCACATTAAAAAAAGAGACAGGCTGGTCTCAAACTCTTGGGCTCAAGCAATCAACCCACCTTAGCCCCTCAAAATGCTGGGATGACAGGGGTGGGTCACCACGCCCAGCCAAAAACAAAATTAAATTTAAAAAAATCCACAACTATATTTTGTCCCTTCATCTCCATCTAGATATTGCTACCTGATCCCACTGTCTTTCTCAACAAAACCTCCTAAAGGAATTGACAGCACTTGCTATGTTCATTTTCTTGTCCCATTCACCCCTTTCTTTAAAAAAACTTCTTTAAAAAGTAAACATTGAATAGATCCAGAAATACACTTATAATATAGTACATTAGGTAAAGACTAGGCTGTGTTTTTTGTTGTTTTTTTTTTTTTTCTTTTTTTTTTTTTTTTTTTTTGAGACAGAGTCTTGCTCTGTCACCCAGGCTGGAGTGCAATGGCACAATCTTGGCTCACTGCAACCCCTGCCTCCCAGGTTCAAGAGATTCTCCTGCCTCAGCCTCCTGAGTAGCTGCTATTACAGGCATGCATCACCACGCCTGGTTAATTTTTTGTAATTTTAGTAGAGATGGGGTTTCACCATGTTGGCCCAGGCTAGTCTTGAACTCCTGACCTCAGGTGATCCACCTGCCTTGGCCTCCCAAAGTGTTGGGATTATAGGCATGAGCTACTGCTCCAGGCCACGCTAGGCTTCTAAAAGAAGGAGACTCCCTTTTTCCCTCCACAAACCAAACCAAACCCCAAAACCACCCAGAAGCCTAAGCAGGATAGCAGTTTCATTCCCGCTCATTTCTTACATAACAGTCAGAAGGTCACAGGCAATCCCAGACTGGCTGGCAGCTCTGCCAAGCTTAGCATGTGGCTTGCCCTTGTGGACCCCAGTTCTTCCCATCTCACAGACATCTAGAAGGAGGAAAAGCTCCATGTGAAGGGCTGGACCCTAAGTAGCACACATCTGTTCTTCCCACTCACAGCCCAGGGCCACACTTTTCTGCCAGGGAGTCTTGGAATTGTAGCCATTATCTGGGACGCTGTGTACCCAGCTAAAACGTTGTTGGTATGGAAAAAGGGAATGACATATTTTCAAATACAAGTATTGTTTTTTTGTGGGGATTTTGTTATTGTTGCTGTTTTTAAAGAGACAAGGTATTGCTCTGTGGCCCAGGCTGGAGTGCAGTGACATGATCATAGCTCACTGTAACCTCAAACTATTGGGCTCAAGAGATCCTCCCCACCTCAGCCTCCTAAGTAGCTGGTCTACAGGCATGTGCCAACATGTGGGGCTAATTTAAAAAATTTTTTTTGTAGAGACAAAGGTCTTGCTTATATTGCCCAGGCTGGTCTCGAACCCCTGGCATAAAGCAACCCTCCTGCTTCAGCCTCCCAAATTCTTCCCTAGATATTTTAGACCTGAATATCTAACCACACTATTGGCATTGCCACTTGTGTCCTTTATGAGACATCACAGATTAAACATGTCTAGAGAGGAACTCTAGGTTTGAACCATTCCTCCTTCTATTGCTTCCAGTCTTTCCCATCTCAGGAATGGTGATGCTAGTCACCTATTGCTCAAAAGAAACCTGGAGGTCATCCTTGACTCCTCCCAGGTCAATGTCCAAAATGTATTTCAGATTCTCCTACTTTTCTTCATCTCCATGGTCATGACCCTGGTCCAAGGAAGCATTGTTTTTTCCTGGACCACTGTGGCAGTTTCCTAACTGGACTTCTGATTCCACTCTTAGTCCTGTTTAATCCCCCTAGCAGTGATCTTGTTAAAGCACTGGTAAGATTCTGTCATTTTGCTTTACATCACTCAGTGGCTCTCCATAGCACTTAAAATACAATCCAAACACTTTGCTTTGGTCTTCAAGACCTTGCATGGTCTACCCACTCCCTACCTCTTCAGTATCATCTCATACCATTCCTTTCCTGTCTGTTCACTCCTACCCACTCTGCTCCAGCCTCCCTGGCTTATTTTTGACCCTCAAGCATGACAAACTGTTTCCCATCTTAGGACTTTCAGGGCCTTCCCTCTGCCTGGAATCCTCTCCCCAAAGCTGGCTCCTTCTTATCCTTCCGACCTCAAGTTAAATGTTATCTTCTCAGAAAGGCCTCCCTATCCACTCTATTACTTGCTGTCATATCCCCTTGTATGCTTCTTCATTGAACTTCTTTCAGTCTGACATTATCTTATTTATTTATTTATTTGCAGACGTGTTTGCACTGGCTGCCTCTAACACAGTTGTTCTTAATTCAGGCTCCAGGATGGCAAGTTGCCTTTAGTTGCACTCAGCTGGAGTGCATGATTGAAAGGCTTCTTAGGCAGTGTCTGGGATCAGCAGGTAAGAGTGCCATGATTGATTAGCAATGTCTGCCACAGACTAAGAAATGGAAGGCAGGGGCACAGGTGATAAGTCTTTGCCATGCCTGATCTGGTCAACTGAGTTTCAGCGATTTGACCAAGGCCAGACAGCTAGTTAATGACAGAGCTGGGTGGAATCTAGTCTCCTTGGCTATGTGGAATTCCTTCTAAGAAGCCTATTCGAACCTCACGGTTGATGCCTTGGCCAGTAGTGAAGCCTGTAGCCCTTTCTCAAAGGGGAAAAAAGAAAGGAACGGAAAGGGAAGCTGGGCTGAAATAACTTCTCTGTGTCAGGCGTACAGTTTTGGAGACTTCTTGGCAGTTGGGAATGCAGGCGTAACACAGTTTTGTCAAAATGCCCTTGGGGACATGGTGGCATGGTAAGAAGTGTCTAGAGGAGCCCAGCATGATAGCAGACACTCCTTTAATAGGCAGAATTCTGAGAGCTCATCACTCACTAACACTTATCCACCACAGTGCCCGGAGCCCACAGAGCAGCTGGCAAAAGCCCTGGAATATTAGGTGTCATGTATGTCTGTTTAGCTACAAGGCTCTCTCTCTTAGCTTTTAGGAAGTCAGGTGTGAGGCACTCTGCCTTTACGGTGTGTCACTGGGGTAAGAGGCAGCCCAAATGAGCCATTGTGTCTGAGGCAGCAAGGCAAGCTTGCCTGTCACCCAGAAACCCGCACAGGACAGGTGGCTGAAGGAAGTCCAGTGTATACAAGGGTTGTGGCTGAGAGTTCAGGGCATTGCACTGGGCTGGAATGCCCATCAGCATGCCCACACAACTTCCAGAACCTCAGGGGCTCATGATACCCACATCACCTTCTGGGTGGTTTTCTCCTCCTCCTGGAGATGGGTCAGCTATAGTTTGGTAGAACCTACAGGCAGGGAGTTCACCCCCAAGTTTCCTGGGAAGAACACTGGCCACATAAAAGTATTGAAAAAACGGGTTTAGCACAGTGCTCCCCAGACCTGGCACATAATTAGAATTAGTAGAGGAGCTTTGGAAAAATACTCATTCCTCGACATCTCCCTAGACCTACTGACTCAGAGCCTCTAAATGAGTAAGTCCTCAAAGTCTGTGCCGTTCAAAGGCTTCCTAGGGCATTCTGAGGTTATATGGGACTGGCGTCACAAGTTTAGGGCAAAGAAGATAGGACTTGGAGATCTGAAAATCAAGGTTCAAAATTTCCCTGTGACGTTTCTTGGATGTGTGATCCTGAACGAGTCGCCTGACCTTTCTGAGCTTCAGATCTTGCATGGAACTAATCATAATCATGTATATTCTTCCTCCTCAACATTGTTGGGCAGCTTAAATGAGATACGGGTATGAAATAGATTTGTAAACCATGAAGCTGCTTATTTCGTTAATAAACCAGGGATGTTGAATTTGGTGATGGGGGAAAGTTCTGGATAAGGGGAAGAGAAGGGTGTTGGTCATGAAAACCTTGCAATGCCAGTGGGGATCTTGACCTCAGACCTGGATAGTAGCTGATGGGAGGGCAGAGGCCTTTCCCTCGCCTGCCCTGTCTGAACCTTTCCTGTTGGAAGAGAAATATGATGTGGGAAGCGCCTGGGACAGGCTTAGGGCCAGGTGCAGGGCCACGCTTTGCAGAGCTTTAGCCGGCTATTTTTAGTGCCCGGGTGTAAAAGAAAGAAGCTTAAAGTGGCCCCGCTGCGGCTGACCCTGCACACTCGGCTATTTTTACTTCCGAAAGACTGGGATCTTGTCCAGCTTAGGCAGGGAAGATGAGAAGAAAGGAGGGAGGTGGAGGGAAGAAGGAATTATTTTACTTCCATTAAGAAAAATGTCAGAAACCTGATCTTATCAAGTCAGCAAGTGGGTATCCAATCCCGGATGTGTAAGGTGCCGGCTGTGGACGCTGTGACGTGCCTGCAGTGGATTGGAGAGGCCAGCAGAGGGGGAGCCCCGCTCCCCTCCTCTCAAGGAGTTTCTGTCCCAGAGTGGCCCCGAAGCTTCTTTGCTATTTTTTGTGCCCTGAGCTGGGAAGTGGGCTTGGCCCCCACAGGCACGAGGGGCACCAGCCTGGTGACGAGGCCGGTGGAGGTGGGAGCAGTTATGACTGCAGCCAAGGGTGGAACCTCTGTTCTCAAGTTGGACAAAGGCAGCCATCAGACCCACTGGCATATTCCAGAGAGTCCCAGTGTTGGGGCTGTGTGCCCTGGGCACAATATTTAACCTCTCTGAACCTTAATTTCTTCAGGGATTTTGTTTAATACATCTGACTGACAGTAGTTACAACTGTGGGGATGTGTTTCTCTCTTCCATGAGGAAGGCAGTTCAAGCCAGACTCTATGACCTTCAACAGGCAGATGAAAGGCAAGAAGTTACTACTGAGTGCCTACTGTGTACCAAGCACTCTGTTACGTTTCAATATTTTATGTTGTTAATTCCACTAACCTGAGAAAGGATACATATTTTTAAAAAATTTTAACAGCTTTATTGAAATATAGTTCACCCATTTAAAGTATACAGTTTGATAGCGTTTTGTATTCCTATATTTGTAAATTGTGGCAAAATATACGTCAAGTACAACTTGGCATTTTAGAAATTAAGTGTACAATTCAGTGACATCAAACACATTCACAATATTATGCAATCACCGGCCATGTACTGTGGCTCATGCCTGTAATCCCAGTATTTCGGGAGGCTGAAGAGGGTGGATTGCTTAAGCTCAGGAGTTTGAGACTAGCCTGGCCAACATGGTGAAACCCTATCTCTACAAAATATACAAAAATTAGCCAGGTGTGGTGGCATGTACCCATAATCCCGGCTATTCAGGAGGCCGAGGCAGGAGGATCACTTGAGTCCAGGATCGTGCCACTGCACTCTAGCCTGGGTGACAAACTGCGACCCTGTCTCAAACAAAACAAAACAAAACAAAACAAAACAAAACAAACCATTATGTAATCACCATCAGACCAGGAGTTCAAGTCCAGCCTGGGCAACATAGTGAGATCCCCCATCTACCAAAAAAAAAAAGAAAGGAGGGGGCCAGGCACAGTGGTTCATACCTGTAATCCCAGCACTTTGGGAGGCTGAGGCAGAAGGATCGCTTGAGGTCAGGAGTTCGAGACCAGCCTGGGCAACATAGTGAGACCCCCATCTTTGCAAAAAAATTTTTAAAAAATTATCTGGGTGTCATGGCATGTGCCTATGGTCCCAGCTACGTGGGAGGCTGAGGTGGAAAGATCTCTTGAGGCTGGGAGGTCAAGGATGCAGAGAGCCAGCCTGGCCTATAGAGTGAGACCCTGTCTCTTAAAAAAAAATGGGGTGTGGTGGTGTACACTTGTAGTCCCAGCTCCTGGAGAGGCTGAGGCAGGAGGATCACTGGAGCCCAGTAGTTTGAGGTTGCAGCGAGCTGTGATGGACTCACTGCACTGCAGCCTGGGCAACAGAGGAAGACCTTGCCTCGAAAAAAAAAAAAAAGAAAGAAAGAAAAAGTGGAATCACATAATATTTGTCCTTTGGTGTCCTTTTGGTTTATTTTCCTTAGCGTAGTGTTTTTAAAGTGCATTCATGTTATAGCATATATCAGAACTTTATTCCTTTCTATGACTAAGTAACATTTCATGTATATACCACATTTGCTTCTCCACTCATCTATCCACGGACACTTGGGTTGTTTCCACCTTTTGGCCATTGTGATTATGCTGCAGTGAACATTGTCCTACAGGCGTCTGTTCAAATTCCTTCTTTTTATTTTTTAAAAATTTGCTTCTTTTCCCCACACTACACAGATGTATGTTCAGATTTCTCTTTTCAGTTTTTTTGGGGGTGTATACCTAAGAGTGGGATTGCTGAATCATATGGTAATTCTGTCTAGCTTTTTGAGGAACCATCAAACTATGTTCTACATGGTTACACCATTTTACTTTTCCAGCAGCATTGTTTTTTAAGTTTTTAATTAAACTTCTTATTTTGAGATAATTGCAGATTCACATGCAGTTGTAAGAAATAATACAGAGAGATGCCATGCATCGCTTACCCAGTTTCCCCTAATGGTAACATCTTAAAAAACTACAGTACAATATCACAACCAGGATATTGACATTGATACAGTCAATTGACATTGATATGGTCAAGATGCAGAAAATCTTTAAGAGTGAAGTGGGTTTTTTTTTTTATTAATTTTTTTTTTAGATGGAGTCTCACTCTGTTGCCCAGGCTGGAGTGAAATGGTGTGATCTCAACTCAAGATCTCCGTCTGCACAGGGTCATGTATTCCAGGGATTATCAATTTTTTTCTATTCATGGAGCACTCAGAAATATTAAAATTTTGACCTGTACACATTAAGGGATTAAACGGTGTTAATGGTGGTTAAAACAAAGGATCTGTATTTATTGCAGTATTTGGAAATATGTGACACTTTACATTTGAGCATTATTAATGCTTTTTTGCATTCAGAAAATTATCAATAAGATGATAAAATCTAATAATCCTAGACAGTAATTGTAAGTTAATTAGTATTTTAATGTGTTTCCTGAGTCTACTTTTAGATATTTTACTAATGTAAGGACACAAACAATAAGGCAACTCTCATTTCAAGTTCAAGTCTTCTTGTTTATTTCCAGTTAGTGTTTGTAAGTCTTAAGCATCCTAATTTTAAAAGTAATTGCCCATTGTATCAGTCAGTGAAAATTGCTTTCTGCTGCAAGTTACGGAGAACCTGATAGCTAGCAGCGTAAGCATGGATAAATGAAGTTGGTTTTTCCACCTTACAAGAAGCCTGGAGATGCGCAGCTGCTGTATTGCACAAAGTTCTCAGCCATGGCGGCAGGGGCGCTCCAGCTCTTTCTTTCTTCTCTGGTGTTCTTTGGTGTCCTCAGACAGCCATGTCATGGCTGCAAGGTCGTTGCCACACCTGTAGGCTTCACCTTCCAGGCTGGGGCAAGAGAAAGGCAAAAGAGCTGCACTGAACATGGCTGTCCCTTTTCTCAGAAAAGCAAAACCGTTCCAGAAGTCCTGCCATGGACTTAACCTGACATCCCATTGCCGTGGTGGCACGCACCTGTGGTCCCAGCTACTCGAGAGGCTGAGGCATGAGAATGGCTTGAACCTGGGAGGCGGAGGTTGCAGTGAGCCGAGATCACACCACTGCAGTCCGGCCTGGGCCACAGAGTGAGAGTCTGTCTCAAAAACAGTAAAAAAAGGAGAAGGCCGCTTCACTTTGGTGGGGTTCCATCTTCCCCAACCCCAGGCTAGGGGTGCACAGGTCTGTGTCACAGGACCCTCCCACTCTAAATGGCCCTAGCAAGTCCTGAGTGTGAGGCAGTGCCAGAGCAGGGGAGAAATAGAGCAAGCCAGGGTCCTGTCCTCTAAGAACCCATCGAATCGAAGAGCTGATGGGTATAAAGGGAAACCAGCATGAGGTGGCCTGTGAGGTATCAGATGAATGTTGAAGTGCTATGGGTTGGCAGGAGGGTGGTAGAAGAGATGGCCTCACCCAGCCTACTGGAACTGCTTTCCAGCTTACCAAGCATTTTCTCATCATTAAGTCATACAATTGTCACAAAAGCCATCTACCTTGAGCAGAGTTGGTTTTACCATCGCCTCCTTCCCCAGACCTGAAGATGCAGCTGAAGCCCACTTGTCCAAGGCCAAATAACCTGAAATAACCCGTAAGGGACAGAGATGGGCATGGGACCTTCATTATCGAGCCCATGGGCTGCAGTGATTGTGGGCTGTGCTTAGGGCAGGCTCAGAAGAGCAGACAGGAAGCAAGGGGAACAGACACATTTCACATCAGGTGTCAGTTTGTGCATAATTAAACCCAACAGGCTACTGTTTTTTTAACAGCGTAATCTGATAATTGATACACGTATTGATTGGAGCCATTGACCACTATGCTGTAAAGATCAGGAGGAGAAAATTTAGAGGAGAATTTAACATTTGCTGTGCGCTGGGAGGTCATACCATGGAATGGCAAAAAGCTTGGGTCTTTTATTGGGGAAATCACTGAATCTCTCTGAGCCTCAGTTTTTCTTATTTGTAAAATGAGGATAATAGCACCTGCCTTATATTTTTGTGGGTTAAGTAGGGTAATACATACAGAGAGTCCTTTACAAATTATGCTGTTATCATTATCATTATTCATGTGATTTACCAAAAACTTGGATGCAATGCTGGGGAACAGTAATAATAAGGATGATGATAATAACCATAATAATCCCATTTTCTAAGCACATGCTGCATCTTGGGTACCATGACAGACTTTGGGGCAGGACTGTGAGCCGCCCCTGGCCTTAACGGGTGCCTAGTCAGTAGGGGAAGCCCAGTGTGCTCTGGGAGCCCATGAAGAAGCCCCCAGCCTGGCATGGGGATGAGGAGGACAGAGGTACATCCACCCCTGTATTCATCAAGTCTTTCCTGAACATCCATGAAAGGTCAGGCCCTATATCAGGACACAGAACATCCCAGATGGAGACATCGGCAGAGGTGGCAGCTGCCCATCTCCTTGCCTTGCCGAGGGACAGACACCTCTTTTTATTTTGTGTTGAGCATGCCTCACTCTGATTGACAGCTGCTTGCCGGGAAGCAGGCTGGATGGGAAGCGAGAGTTCATTCCAGTGGTATCTAGGAGAGAAGGTCAGTAAAGTGGGGAAGGGGCTTGTCCTGGACTCAAGGAGAGTATATGTTTAAGATCCTGGCATATAGTAGGTGCTCAGTAAGTGGGGGCCCTTACTGTCTCTTATGGATGAGGTGGACCGTTTTCACTTTCGGTCCTGTCACCATTCCAAGGGGAAGCAGAACTTGGTGGAGGGTTTGGTTTGGCCTGGGTATAGTGAACAGAGGAGGCTTCTATGTAGACATGTCACAGGATAGAGTCAGAAAGCTTTTCTAGACAGGGAACTTTTCCCAAAAGACTTTTACAGGAAGAATCATCCTTCCTGTGTTTGTGTCTGCTCCTTATGCTGTCACTGAAGGGGCTTGCAGGGGGTGAGGGAGCAAATGTGAGCCAAAGTGCTAGCAGCACATAGGTTCAGGTCTGGAGCTGGATGGCATCTAGCTGTCCCTTTAGGGTCCAAGGTACAGGCAGAAGTTGATGGTACAGCTGCGTTTGCTAGGATGCCTTAGTGCAGTGCTCCTCAAACTCTGTTGTCCGTGCAAATCACCTTGTCTGATTCCTCTGTGGCCAGGCCTGAGATTTTGAGGCATCTAACAAGCCTCAAATGATGGTGATGATGCTGGCCTGCAGACCACACTTGAGGAGGAAGACAGCGGAGACTGCTCCTGCCCACACCTACTCAGCACTGTCTGTTTGTGTGTGTGTGTGTGTACGTGTGCATGCGTGCGTGTGTGTGTGTGTGCTGATCTGACGCCTAGGCTTTCTTTGGCCACCAGAGTCTGCTCAGCCTGGACCTGGGAGGCAGGCAAGAAGCGCCAAAGCAGCCGGTAGCTGGGAGCCTCAGTTGCCCACAGCAGTACTGTCCTCAGGAACACATTTGTTATTGGCTTTCTTCCCTCCTTGGAAACTGCTCGCATGCACAGCCTTGTCTCAGATTCTGCTCCTGGAGAAGTCAACAACAAATGTCAGTTACAAAACCTGACCTTCTAGGCAGAAGGGGAGTTTATTGGAAGCCTATCAGGAGGTTCAAAGAGTACATTTAGAAACCAGACAAGAACCAGGAGAATCCCTGGAGAGCCCAGGAGCAGGAAACCCAGTAGCCAGGACATACTGGCCAGGGGCTGCCTACACTCTGCTGGGGAGGCGCTGCTGGTCTGATCAGTCCTCACCTTCGCTCTGTCCTTGTGCCTCCGTTTGATGGTGCACTTGGCTGAGCCTGTGTCACGGGTCCATGCCTTGACCTCCAGAGAGCAGAGAGAAGGAGAACATGTACTTCTCAGATATCCATTGAGGGGTGGGACACAGACTTCCAACAGTTTCCGTATTCCCAATAGGGGAATTACATTTTTTAAATTTTCTTTTGAGATGGAGTCTCACTCTGTTACTCAGGCTGGAGTGCAGTGGTGCAATCTCAGCTCACTGCAACCTCCACCTCCTGGGTTCAAGCGATCCTTGTGCCTCAGCCACCCGAGTAGCTGGAATTACAGGCACGTGCCACCACACCTGGCTAATTTTTGTATTTTTGGTAGAGATGGGGTTTCGCCATGGTAGCTAGGCTGATCTTGAACTCCTGACCTCAAGGGCTACGGCCTCCCAAAGTGCTGGGATTACAGGGGTGAGCCACCGCACCTGACCAGGGGAATTACCTTTAAACAGGAAGCCTGGGTGGGCTGCTGAGTAGACTCCCCCTCTCCCCGACTAAAAAACGTTTAGCACCAGGTACAAATACACCAGGTTGTGGGGTTGAAAAAGACATTGCTGACAAAAATGAGGAGTTGTGGGCTCACTCAGTGAACTCACAGCATCCTTGCCCTCCAGGGCTGGAGTCCTGAACTGAAAACACCTGGGGCAGCAGAGGGGTGGGGGGTAGTGTCCTTAGCATCCCAAAGTTCCTTTAGGGCAATGTGCACTTAAAGGAGTTTTCTCCACTCATTCAGTAAACAAAGTAATTTTGCTTTCAGTTGCTCTAGGAAACTTCCTTCTTCTCAGGGACTGAAATTTAGTAGCTGAACATCCTAACAAAGAAACAGCCAGAAAATAGCCCCAGGCATGAATGGGCTCTAAATCATCATTCCATTAAGTAACCATTGTTCTGACTTCCCCTTGCCTGTTCTGGAGAAAGGCCTGAATCCGGGGGACTGGCAGCCAACACTCTGGGGCTGAAGGATGGACAAGGCTGGGACAGGAAGGAAGATTCTGTTTCTTCTGCTCCCCATCTAGGAAGTACCAGAGTTTATTAGAAAAGGGAAAGGGCCCTGAAGGTCAACTGACTGGGGCTCTGTGAGGGTGATACTCACTGCCTTTGGGGAAAAGAACAGAAGTTGAACCTGGCCTGTCGCAGCAGAGGCTGAGGTGGCAACCCAGCTTTCTTCTCTGAGGACTCTGGTCTCCGTGTCTGACTTCTTGTGTGTTTCAGTCAAGGCCCATTTCATGATCAGGAAAAGGGAGCTGTTCAGTGAGCTCAAGGTAAGGACTCCAAGAAGGAACGTTGTCTGAGGCTGGCCTGGAAGAGCCACAGCAAGAAGGCAGAAGTGGCTTCCAGGCCCCACAGGGCCCCAGCACCATGCTTGGGGCACCTGCTCTCTGGTGCTTTTTGTGTTGGTTCATACTTTGTAACCAATTTGTTGGGATTCATCCTTGCAGGCCAGGCCACATCAGTGGGTAGCCAGTCTGAGCTGTGTGTCCACCTGAGGCCCTGTGCCTTCGATCTGCTGGTGGGGGGCATGAAATGGTACCAATGTGTCTGTCCAGGCAGCAGGAGCTGTGGGTGAGGCAGGCTTCCGGAAGGCAAGTTGGATTCAGTGACAATGACAGATCTCTCCAGGGTAAACTCTCACTCCTGGAAGTGGCTGTCTACGTGGAGTAGCCACAGCTGCTTTTGAACCTACTTTCAAGATATTTCCAGGCACTGATTTTCCAGTCCAGAGGTGGCCAGCCCAACTGTTGCATTCCCATCCCCTGGGGACTTGTGTAAAGACAGACTCTAGAGCTTTATGCTAGAACCTCAGAGAGTGGGGTCTAGAAATTGACATTTGTAATGAGCGCCTCCTCAGATGCTTCTTGTGTGAAAAGTCTGAAAACCCTTGAAGTGCCTGTGAATGACCGGGATTCCTTTCTTTTGTTGGCAAGTTAACCCTCCCTGGATTCAAAGCAGATCTAACATAATGTGACTTCTTCCGCCAACACTTGGTAGAGTGCCTTTGTTGACATAAGGAGAACCAAGGGCTGAGGGTTGCTTGGGATGAATTTCAGAAGGATGCTGAATCCAGAGAGACAGGACCAGGCCTGGGGCAACGGGATGCGCCATTACTGTTAGACAATTATTTTAGGATTGTCCAGCCACCTGGCCTGAGGCTGGCCGTGGGGCAGCTGTCGAAGGTCATCCGAGCAAGGCCCTGAAGGACCCAGCCAGTGCTGAAATTCCAAAGTCAGTGCTTCTACCCTGGTGATGTTGAACAACTGCTGAGATCTTTTCCCTTTCCTCCCCAATAGGTGTGCGCCTTGATCGAGTGCGTGGAGGCCGTCAGAAATACAAGCGACGGCTGGACTCAGAGAGCAGCCCATACCTGAGCTTACAAATTTCTCCACCTGCTAAAAAGCCATGTGAGTGTCAGGGCAGTCCCTGCCCCTTTTGCCAGCATCTGTACCTGGAACATCAGGCATCCCTTAGGGAAACATCATCTTCCCACCACTGGGTCATGAGACAATGTGGATCTTGGGGAGGTGACATCAGTGCCTGGCACATTTAGAATGTGGCTCCAAATGAAGCATGGTCCTGACAAGCCACGGGCCCCAATGTCCAGAACATGCTCCCCTTGCCACCCACCCAAAGTTGCTCTGCAGGTTCCTCCTGGAGAATTCGTCAGGCAACTTCCCTTGGAGGGATATTTCTCAACAGCCCAGATCACCACTACCAGCAACTTCATGGAGCCAGAACAGGAGGGGAGATTATAGCCGCTTTGACCTTCCTGGAGCTCTTAGGAACCCAACTTTGCTTCCTGACCCATCTGAGCCTCCACCCCGGCCCCTTTCCTCTTTTCCCAGCATTTACCTTTCCCTCTTTGGTTGTTGCAGTGACCAAGATTGTCTCATACCTACTGGTGGCTGAGCCGGACAAGCTCTATGCCATGCCTCCCCCTGGTATGCCTGAGGGGGACATCAAGGCCCTGACCACTCTCTGTGACCTGGCAGACCGAGAGCTTGTGGTCATCATTGGCTGGGCCAAGCACATCCCAGGTGAGCATGTGGGACCAGGGGAGAGTGTGGCCAGGGACTCTCAGCCGGTATCTCCGCAGCCTACCCAATGGCTGTGCTTCTGATGCCCGGATCCTGGACCCCAGAAGGCCTGTGAAATCCTGGCAGGCCTGTTTCTCTGAGCTCCTCTTCTCTCCTTGTAGCATTGGAGAGGAACAGGTAGTTAGAAGACCCAGTGAGGCTTATACACTGCTGCAGGCTCTTCAGAATTAGTTATCATTCGAGGCGGGGCCATGTTTGGATCTACAATCAGTGTAATATTCAAAGAACAAGTTCCTTGAGCCCTTAAAGGGCAAAGAGTAGGGTTTTCTTGTAGACCTTATTGGAAGGATGCCAGAAAACAACAGAAGAAAGACTGACCCTCTCTTCCTATTGGAGGCAGCAGAATGGAGCAGTGAAGAGCATGGCCTTGGGAATCAGATCGGGATTCCAATTCTGGGTCTGCAGCTTACTAGCTGAGTAACCCTAGGTAGGCCACCTGACCTCTCTGTCAAATGGGAATACAAGAGTCCCCCACTTTGTGAGCTTTGATGTGAGCATGAAATGAGATCCTGTGTGTGAAGTGTTCGGCACAGTGTCTGGCATGTGCTGGCATCAGTTGCATGCCCACTATTGCCATTCGCCTGATCTCTAAGGGAGGCCTGTCTCTGGATTGGCTTCTGAGATTTTAAGGGCCTTTCTGGTGCGGAAAGTGTGTGTTCCATGTTTCAGGCTGTGTGGACTTCTCTTCGCTGTGTGTGGACCCAAACCCTGCTTTCACCCTCTCTAGGTCTGGGCAGATGGCGGGAGCTTTTTTATTTTTGTAGACACCAACACCCATGTATTCTACATTACATACACATTGGGGGCCTTTCTCTGTGCAATTTATTCCTCAACTCCTTTAAGACTCTAATAAGTTGACTCAGAGTGTGGTAGAAACATCCTTTTATCCTTCTGGTAATGACCCACCATGAACATGGGACAAGTCAGCTTCCTGTCTGTAGATCCGTTTTTGGTTTGTCATGGCTCTGAAAGGTGATTACAGCAGACGATACAGCAAAGGTGACCTAGACTTTAGATACCAAGACCCACAGTTGTTTGTTTGTTTGTTTTTTGAGACAGAGTCTTGCTCTGTTACCCAGGCTGGAGTGTAATGGCGCGATCTCGGCTCACTGCAACCTTCGCCCCCCAGGTTCAAGTGATTCTCGGGCCTCAGCCTCCCCAGTAGCTGGGATTACAGGTGCCTGCCACCACACCCAGCTAATTTTTTTGTATTTTTAGTAGAGACGGGGTTTTGCCATGTTGGCCAAGCTGGTCTCGAACTCCTGCCCTCAAGTGATTTGCGCACCTCAGCCTCCCAAAGTGCTGGGATTATAGGCAAGAGCCACCATGTCTGGCCCAAGGCCCACAGTTGATTGAGAGAATAAAAAATGTCCTTCCATGTGAGACCTTACATGCCCAAGTTGCAGGAAGGAGCCTTCCTGTGGACAGGGACGCACAGAGACATCAGATGGCCCAGAGGCTCTGCTGGCAGGGACTGCCTGGTGGCCCCTGGGCATTCTGACCAGGGATCTGGGCTGGTACGCCCTTACTAAGGAGCTCAACCTCTCGGGGATTACACACTCAGTAGTTTTTGAATCTGCCCAGTGCTGGTTCAGCACAGATGTGGGGTCAGGCCACTGCTTAAGACACTTCAGCCTGGATTGCTCCACTAACCCAGGGCCAAATTGGGTACAGGTACCCCTGCCCCCGCCCCACACTCCTGTTCCAGGTTGAACAGATCCTGCATCCTAGCAATGGCTCACGAGTGGCGCCTGGTGGTCCCCTGGGTCAATGCTTCCTTCTTCCACAACCCCACCCCTGCAACACCACGGAGGAAGTAGATAAGACCAGGAGACCCTGTCTCCCCTGCACTCATTTTTCTCTGTGCCTTTCCACCTCCCAGCTCCATCTCCCATCTGTGACCAACCAAGAGGGCATGGCTAGAGCAGAGTGAGTGCTAAAGGCATAGACTTTGGAATCAGGCAGCCTGGGCTTTCATCTCAGCTCTGTCCTTACTGGCCTTATGCAAGATACTGAATTTTTCGGAGCTTCAGTGTCCTTGTCTGTAAAATGGGAATCACGATAGAGCCCCTTCACGGGATTGCTGTGAGGATGTAGCGCGCTTAGTGTGTACACCGGGTGAATGGCAGAGACGCTTACCAGCGCTGTTGTAGTTGCTAATAGTAATAAAAGCCTCCTTTCATGGCTTCATTTATCCTTGTCCAAAGCCGGATTCTTTTTGGTAAAAAAATAAAATAAAATAAAAACGGGCTCAGTTGTCCATCTTAAATGCTAATTTGCCTATTTTGCATAAATCTGCATGCTGAATTCTTTGCCTCCTGACCTTCCAGTGTTTAAGGTAAAATTAATTAGTGGAGTCTCCTGCCACTGCATGTAAACTCATACTAAGGGCAATGACACAATCAAATGCCTGATTTTTTTTTTTTTTTTTTTTTTTTGAGATGGAGTCTCCGCTCTCTTGCCTAGGCTGGAGTGCAGTGGTGCGATCTCGGCTCACTGCAATCTCCTCCCAGGTTCAAGCGATTCTCTTGCCTCAGCCTCCCAAGTAGCTGGGACTACAGGCACGTGCCACCACCCCTGGCTAATTTTTTTTTCTATCTTTAGTAAAGATGGGGTTTCACCATGTTGGCCAGGCTGGTCTCAAACTCCTGACCTCAAGGGATCCACCCACCTCAGCCTCCCAAAGTGCTGGGATTATAGGCGTGAGCCACCGTGCCTGGCCAGGTGCCTGATATTTTTAAACTAATCAACTTAATCCCATCTCAGATTAGATGGAAAATGCATCTGAAGATGGGCTCCCTATCCCTGAGAGAGAGAGAGAGAGAGAGAGAGAGAGAGAGAAAGAAAGAGAGAGAGAGAGAGAGCTGGTTGAGTAGGGAGGATAAAAGCTGGGGCCCACCCTGGGGCCTGTGTTGGCTCCAGTCCATCTAGTTCCTGCACAGACAGAAAGAGGGGGACTGGCCACTGCAGGCTGCTCAGGAGTAGAGCTCTGAAGAATTTAGGCCAGTGTCCTTAAACGCAAGGTACCGCATCTCACGAGAGGGCATTGCACACTTAGCTTTGCATGCACATATTGAGAAGTCACTACACATGAGGTCCCCTGATAGGAGTTGTGGCTGAGACAAGGAATTTATTTTGCCCCAAGGATCCCATTTGGAACAAGGCTGACATCCAGGGGGAGCTTGGTTCACTCAGAATCCCAGCCATTGTTCAAGTCAGTCTGACATTGTCCTACCCCAAATGCAGGTTTTTTACCTTGAGTTGAATGTTCCAAGTATTGGGTTCCCCATAGGGCAAGCCCAAGTCTTCAGAGTGTCCATTTCTTATTCCATGAGATCAAGAGCTAGCTGACTTTAATAGGCAGTGGGGAATCACTTGATGAATTGCAGCCTCCTCCAAATGACCCGAGCCTGCCATCCTGCCTCCCTCGGCAGCCTCATGCCTGTGCCAGCCAGGAAAGCCTGCCCAGGGAGTTTCCACCACCCTGCCCTGCCCAGGCTCCCATGTGCAGGGCATCCCCAGAGGCCTCCTCACAAAAGTCCCTCAGCGGCACTGCTCCCAGGTAGCCCCCATCTGACTCAATGAAATATGAGCTGCCGAGTGACAGCAGCTGTGTCTGAAGTGGCCCCAGATCCTATAATTACATCTCCCTTTATTACCTCTGCTAATGGCCCTCCAGGTCGACAGAAACGATCATAAATTAACAGATTATGAACTCCACTTGCCACAAATTACGTGCTTTTTTTTTTTCCCCCTTCAATTCTAGGAGCTTGTGGTGCCAAATCACGGATGGGGGGATGGGGAGCTTGGGGAGAGCCTGAATGTTATTAGATGAGTTGGTGCAGATAAAACAATTTTCCTGGGGCAGCAGAGCTCCAAGTGGGAGCATGAGGAGCCAGAAGCTCTGGGCAGGCCCGAGAGCCTTGATGAGGCAGTGCTGCCTGCAGTGAGCCCGGCACAGGGACACCCCTGCACTCCCAGGGGCACGGGGCACCCCCAGACCCTCCCGGTAGCCTCTTCAGGGGCCTCTTGGTCCCAGAGTTACTAATAACTTGAGAATGAGACCCAGCCCAGCTGAGAGAGGCAGGGGTGGAAGCGCTTTACTGAAGGGCAGGGAGGAGTGCCTGGGCTCCTTCTGGGTTTTAAATAAAAGAATCTGTGGTTTTAGTAAAGATATCAGATGGGACAGATGGGTCGAAATTAAGAGTTCCAAATTCCCCATCCTAACCTTCCTTCTGGGAATTTCCTGGGCAGATACAACCACTGTGTGAGGTGTGTGTGTGGGTGGGGGTTGTGTATGTCCCCCAGTCCATGGGCTTATACCATAACACTGCTTTACACCTGCTTTTTCCATTTAATTATACAAAATAGTAGCACTTACCTGGCAAAGCAGGGTTCTAAGTGTTCCACATGTCAGCTCATGTAATCTGAACAACCCCATGAGGTGAGTGCTGTTATGATTTCCATTTTACAGAAGAGGAAACCGAGGCACTGAGAGGCAGACTTGCCAGGGTCACAGCTAGTGAACAGCAGAGTTAGGAAGCTGATCTCTGTGCTCATACGATTACACCCTTTTTGCCCCCTTGGCTGTCTTTCCACGTCCACACAGAGTTCTAACTTATTTGGCACATTCATTTAACTAAAAATTACATCTATGTAATAATCACATGTATTACATTAGTTACCTTTTTTTTTTTCTATTTTGAATCATTTCAAGCAGTGATCTAATACCCTTTTACATTTATCTCTATGTCTTTATTCATACTTTTCTTTCTAGGATAAATTTCTTTTTTTTTCTTTTTGAGCCAGGATCTCGCTTTGTCACCCAGGCTGGAATGCAGTGGCATGATCTTGGCTCACTGGAGCTTTGACCACCTGGGTTCAAGCGATCCTCCTGCTGTAGCCTCCCAAGTAGCAGAGATCACAGGCATGCACCACCATGTCCGGCTAATTTTTAAATTATTTGTAGAGATGGTGTTTTGCCATGTTGCCCAGGCTGGCATTACACTCCTGGGCTCATGTGATCCTCCCACCTCAGCCCCCAAAGTTCTGGGATTACAGGCGTGAGCCACCGTGCCTGGCCACTAGGAGAAATTTCTAGCAGTAGAATTGCTAGGTTGAAGGGAGCATGCCTTTTATTTTATTTTTAATTTAATTATATTTATGACTTACTTTTATTTTTAAGCATCTTAAGCACTGACTGGGTTCAGAAGCCAAATGTAGACACAAATGTATGTAACAGAAGTCTCACCTCTATCCCTGTCCCCTCCCATTCCGACCTCCTAAAAGTCACCACTTTTTCTTTCTCAATTTTCCTTCTGGTGTTTCTTTTTGCAAATACTAGAAAAGATTCAGATGTTAAAAGATGTCAAATATCTCCCCCTCCCTTCCTTGCACAAAATGAAGAAGGCTGTATCACCAATTCAGCGCCTTGGAGTATACCTTTGGATTATCAAAGCTATTTTCAGGGCTTTTTGAAAATGTTCAGGGAGGAAGAGAGTGATCAGGGGCTGAGTCCAGAACTCGAAGCAGCCTATCAGAGGTTTGGGAACAGGCCTCCCGGGTACATCCTCCCATGGCAGCACAAAACTTTCCAAGTCCAGTCTCCCTCCCACCACCCAAGGGCAGGGCCTGACTCCTACAAGATAGGCAAAGGCAGCTAACCCTGAACCTGAGTCCAAAGATCTTAGAGGGTCTAACCAAGTACTGTGGGCACATTTTCTTGTCTCCTGGGAGTCAAAGCCTGTGGCATTTGTCCATTCTCTCTCTCCTTTTAGCTGCAAAGTTTTGTCGGGCAGCTTCTTTGCTGTGCCCAGTCGTGGGGGTGGGGAAGGAACAGCTCAGTGTCTGTGCACCCTGGGAACTCAGAGCTGGGATGGGCCATCCAGGGGCACCTGGGCATGTGCCTCATCAAAGGTGCCCTCACCACCCTGCTTGACAGCTCAGCCCTCAAGGCTCCCCTTCCACAAAGCCTCCCCAGACTCTTGTTTGGCCCACCTTCCCCAGTGCGTGCTCTCAGGGCCCTGCATTTGCTGTAGCTCTTCTTATATTGCAACTTTGTGCTGACTTGTGCCCCTTGGTGTGTGTCTTCCCCTTCACTGTAAACCGTTGAAGGCAGGGAGCAGTTCTGGACTGAGCACACCATTCTGTCCCCGGTGCCTAGCACAGGCCTGGCACTTAGTAGGTGCTCTGTAAGTTTTTGCTGAATGTCTCAAAGGGCAGAAAAGCATTCTAGTAACATCCTAATGATTGTACCTGCAGGATTCACTGCACAGGGGACTTTTCCCCTGCGTTTCCAGAAGCCTAGTCCTTACCTCATCCTCTCTCTCCACCACCTTCCAATTCAGTTGTCTGCTAATTTCACCCCTGCCCTCCTCCTCCATCTCCCCTCCAGTCTGTCTGCTTTTAGACCCCCTCCCTAGAGCTGTCCAACACTCCCCCCAACACACTCTCCGGTGCTGGCTGATTGGTATCTGTTAATTAATGTTGCCCAAGGCCTCTCTCCTACTCAAAGACCTGATAAGGGAAATTGGATGTCCATTTCTATCTATCTTTTATTACCTCCCAGCTCCCCCGGCCACCACAGGCAGCCACACACCCTCTCCCATGCAGGGAATCTGGACAACCACACACACACACACACACACACACACACACACACCCTGATCCCCTGTCACAGCCTCTCCCCTGAGAAGGTGCATCAATCAAAGCTCCCCCGTGTCAGTCGGTGTAATCACTCCTGCTCTTTTGTTGATCACCCATGGATTCCATTAGCCAGTGGTGATCTGAGGCCCAAGTTGTATAGATCAGTCTTGGGAACTGTGATAATTCACTTGGAGAATGCTCACAGGGTAAGGGTGGTCTGCCTGGTCAGGGACCTTCAGCTCCAGGAGTGACCCCTAAGGTTCAACTGCCATGCCCTGTGTGGAAGCCAGGGAAGAAGTGGCATTTGGAGACAGGACAGCAGATGGATGGGGGAGACCACACAAGCCAAAGAGCTGGGTGGTCCAGAAGCTCAGGACCACCCAGGCCTCCAGGCAAGTCCAGAGAGGAGAAGTGAGTGATGCCAATGGTGTGCCAACAACAACAACAATATTTAGTAACAACAGCCACAGCCATGACCAGCACCCTAGCATGTTGAGTGCTGATGGCGCCGGGAGAGGTGCCCAGCACTGTACATGCATCTTCTCTTTTCGCCCCCACAGCACCCCACATCAGAAAGTGGCTTCCAGCCAAGGATGGGGTCTAAGTCAGCAAATGAAGTAGAAAGTCCTTCCTAGGCAAAATTACCCCTGAAAAAAATCCCTTCATGTCAGTTACCCATAGTGCATGGTGCAAACAACTTTGTGGATGCCCTTCCTTCTTTGAATAAATCCAGCATGTCCGTGTTAGAACCAATCACTGAGTTTCTGTTTGAATCTCCAGTGAAGTTACTGCCTTGTGTTTGGTGGTTAAGATGCTTGAAAATCAGCTGACTTATTTATTTACTTACTCTCTCTTACTCTCCTATAAATCAAGATGTTAATTGACTTTGCCTAATTTAAGTGCATGTATAATGCAATTCCAGTACATTATCATTGTTCTGCAGTGAGAACTTTCATCTCATCATTAGTAATAATAGCTCAGTAAATACTTTGTATATTCTGGAATCATCGTCTCATTTAGACCTCACAGCAACTCTCTGAAGTAGACCCTACTATTATACTATTTCCTAGATGAGGAAGCTAAGGTTTGGAGAAGTTGCATGGTTTTCACAAGTTCAGCCTACAGCTAGTAAGCGGGAGTCAGGGTTCAACCCAGGCAATCCCCACAGTTCACTGGGCAAGACAGTGTCACAGTTCTGGAGCCTTCTCCATGCCCAACTTTATTTTCACTGTGGAATCAGCCTCCTCAAATAGCAGGGAGGGGGGAACTAGCATGATTCCAAGCTCCCGGAACAGGCCTGCTGGGTCATCGTTAAGCAGAGAGTTATGGCCCGGGAAGAGGGGCTCCGACCCTGGGAGAGCAGGCTGTCCTGTGAGAAAGTGCCCCTGACCCCGGGGGCTCTTGATCTCTTAGCAGCCCCAGGCTATGGTCACTGGGGCCTTCCCCTGTGGCTTTGAACAGCTGCGTCCTCGTTCTTGGTCAGGCCCGTGGGTCTCTGCACAGCTGAGACTGCATCAAGGATCAGGTGTCATTTTCAAATACCAAAGCCTCCCCTGGTTTGAGCAGAGAGTGGGCCCTGGAAACTCCCCAGAGTGGCCGAGAGCACGTACTGCTGCCTCCTGGTTCCAGTATGTACTCAGTCACTCCTTTAACTACAAATGCATTGAATTAAACAAAAAGCCTCTACAGACGTTTGGAAAATACCATAGAGCTAACAATCATAATGATAACAACAACTGTCAACATTGACTGAGCTCTCATTTTGTAAGTCTTTTCCGTGAATTCCAAGTCTGAGGCATTCCCCAAGGGGAGGACAGTGAGTCTTACGCTACACAGGGAAAGCCTGGGGGCAGGATCCAGGGGTGCCAGGGACACCCCGCAACCAGCCACGCCCTGCAACCTCTGCCCCCAGCGAGCCCCAGGGAGGCCCCTGGTCCGCCCTCCTGACCTGCTGCTGCCCTCTGTGCCCCCTCTTCCTGCAGGCTTCTCAAGCCTCTCCCTGGGGGACCAGATGAGCCTGCTGCAGAGTGCCTGGATGGAAATCCTCATCCTGGGCATCGTGTACCGCTCGCTGCCCTATGACGACAAGCTGGTGTACGCTGAGGACTACATCATGGATGAGGAGCACTCCCGCCTCGCGGGGCTGCTGGAGCTCTACCGGGCCATCCTGCAGCTGGTACGCAGGTACAAGAAGCTCAAGGTGGAGAAGGAGGAGTTTGTGACGCTCAAGGCCCTGGCCCTCGCCAACTCCGGTAAGGGCGGCGGCGGGGCCTGGAAGGGGAGCTTCTAGGGCTCTGCATGGGCCTAATGAGCCCATCCCTGGGGCCTGTGGGCAGGGCTGGCTGCCATGGATAGAGATGAAAGGAAAACACTGAAACTTTTTATTACTGAAGATTGTCCAAGGGGTGGCCTGCAGATAAAAAGCTGGTGATGAAGGCTGACACTGGCTGAGCATTTCCTAAGCCTCAGACATCCAGACTGGCACACTGGCTAAGGACATGGGTTCTGAGGCCACATTGCTAAGGAGCAAATCCCACGTCTACCAACTGGGCAAGTTGCTTCACTCTGTGCCTCAGTTTCTTCATCAGTAAAAGGAGGGCAGCCAAACAGTCCCTACTCTACAAGGCTATTGACAGGATTTCTTTATACATAATTATATTGCTTGCAACATGCTTGGCACATAAAAAGCACTCAATTATTTATTTATTTGTTTATTATAGACGGGGTCTTGTTCTGTCGCCCAGGTAGGAGTGCTGTGGCTTGATCCTAGCTCACTGCAGTCTCAAACTTTTGGGCTCAAGCCATCCTCCCACCTCAGCCTCCTGAGTAGCTGGAACTACAGGCATGTGCCATTATTCCGGCCAATTCTTATTTCTATTTTTTATGGAGATAGGGTCTCACTATGTTGCCCAGGTTGGTCCCAAACTCCTGGGCTCAAGCAATCCTCTCACCTCAGCCTCCCAAAGTGTTGGCACTACAGGTATGAGCCACCACGCTCAGCGTCAACTTATTAAATTAGCTAGGAGTTTATTGAATTCTTACAAACAACCCAAGAGTAAAATTCTTATTGTTGCAACCCCATTTTACAGATGTGGAAACTGAGACCTGAAAAAGTAAAGAAAATCACCCAGGGTCACACAGTTAAAAAGTGTCAGAGTTAAGAGTCAAACCAAGGTCCTCTGATTCCAAAATCAACCTGAACCTATACCCACTCCTTGAATCTTTCAGTCAAATTTCTTGAACACAGGAGGATAAAACCTTCCCAACTGAGTGGTTTAAGCTGGAGTTACAAAGGAGGACTCACTCCATTTCATTAGCATCCACCAACTTCTGGCTAGATTATCTGAGGAGAGAGGCAGGCGTTGGGTAATGCCAGTAAGTGAACTTGAATGTAACCAACATCCACACTTAGAGAGCTTCCACACTATTCAGGGAATGGTGCTGGGTGCCAGGGGGCTGCAGGAGAAGGATAAATACAGGGTACCCTCCCTAAAGAGAACACATGCCAGGAATCACACACATAATTCTGTTGCAGAGCAGTGTGTGGCAGAGTTAACTGCCCAGGTCTGGGTCAGATAGACCCAAGTTCAAATTCTATCTCTGACACTTCCTAGCAGTATGACCTTGGGTAACTCAGTGTCCTTGTGTGTTCAGTGGGGATATTCTGAGCACCTCTTCCAAGCACTTTATTTTATTTTATTTTTTTTTGAGACAGAGTCTCACTCTGTGGCCTGGGCTGGCGTGCAGCGATGCAATCTCGGCTCACTGCAACCTCTGCCTCCCGGGTTCAAGCGATTCTCGTGTCTCAGCCTTCCGAGTAGCTGGGACTACATGCGTGCACCGCCACACTCAGCTAATTTTTGTATTTTTAGTAGAGACGGGGTTTCGCTATGTTGCCCAGGCTGGTCTCAAACTCCTGGCCTCAAGTGATCCACCCGCCTTGGCATCCCAAAGTGAGGGGATTACAGGTGTGAGCCACCACGCCCAGCCCCAAGTGCTTTTGTGAGTATTAAAGATTGACTGACAATAAAGCACTCAGCCTGGTGCCTGGCCTAGAGGAAATGTTCAATAAATATTAATTATTATCATTACTATTAATGATAGAGGATACAAAGTGTTATTAGCATATGGAAAAGGGAGAACTGGCTCCCAGATGCAGACAGTACACACAGGGTAACCAACTGGTTTGCTCAATACTGTCCTGCTTTTACTGAAAGTCCCATATCCCAGGAAACTCGTCAGTCCCTGGCAAACTGGGACAGTTGGTTGCCCTAGCACATGGCTTCATGGTGCATGCAGGGGGTGCTGTTGATGACCCACTTGGATCCCTTTTACTGGGTTAGTGCATCCATCCCCTAGCTGCTAACAGTTCAGAGGTACCCCTTTGCAGGGCCTACCCTCCTCTGCCTTGCCCAGAGGGTTATGTGGCCCTTTCCTTGGCACCACCAGGCAATGGTGGACCCACATGGGTACAAAAGTTCGGATCAGAGCCCTGCATGGGATCAGGCTGAAGCCGAGGTCCCATCTTTGCCTTGCTTTCTCCTTCCCTGTGCTTCCTGCCTCCCCACTTCCTTTCTCCTGAACACATGCCCCCCGTAAATGTCTGTACCTAAACCCTTGCCTCAGGCTCTGCTCCCAGGGAACCTGATCTAACACAGAAAAGGATGCCACTTTTTTAGTTCAAATCTTTTATTAACAATAAATGAATGCAAAATAATATTAAAAATTTTACATACGTCCACAGAGAATATTTACACATTGAATTCCAAAATTGTAGTGCATTCTTTGTTAGAGAATCCTAATGCTGTTTTTTTAAAGTATAGTTTTAGATTTACAGAATAACTTTTTTTTTTTTTTTTGAGACAGAATTTTGCTCTTGTTGCCCAGGCTGGAATGCAGTGGTGCAATCTCGGCCCACTGCAACCTCCGCCTCCTGGGTTCAAGCGATTCTCTTGCCTCAGCCTCCTTAGTAGCTGGGATTACAGGCGCCTGCCACCACGCCCGGCTAATTTTTGTATTTTTAGTAGAGACATGGTTTCACCATGTTGGCCAGGCTGGTCTCAAACTCCCGACCTCAGGTGATCCACCCACCTCAGCCTCTCACAGTGCTGGGATTGCGGGCGTGAGTCACTGCACCCGGCCGACTGTGTTGTATTGTTCTATAGGTTTTGACAAATGCATAATGACATGTTTCTACAATGACGTATCATACAAAATAGCATCAAGGCCCTGTGCTTCACCTACACAGAGGGGAGCATTTGAACCAGGCATTGCAGAGGGCTTCGAGGTTCTGTCAGGTGGAGGAGGAGCAAAAGCAGTTAAAGCAGAGGAAGCCAGGTGCACAAAGCCAGGTGCAGGAAGGCTGGCCAGGCCTTGGAGGTCAAGCCCTCTATTCTGGGCTCTCCTAACTTACACCAGACACAGAGCTCAATCTTGCCTGTGTTGGGAGAGGAGAGTAAAGAGGTAGTGTCTCCTCCACTCTTACTTGGTCCTCAGTACCGGACCACACCACACCAGCTTTCAGCTGCTCTTCCCTTGATCTCACATGGACCCGCACACATACACACATGCACATGTATACATACAAACACATGCACATACATACACACCCACACATACACACACATGTGAACACACATATGTGCATGCACATACCCACATATGCAGCCACATCCATGTGTATATAGACATACACACACACCCCCACCTGAGGACCCGTGGAGGTTTGTCAATATGAATCCATATCGAACTTCTGTTGGCATCAACAGAACTTCTGTTGACATCAGACTTTGCCTGAGTGCACTTTGTCGCATGGTATGAGGTTTCAGGTCTCCGGACTTCTTGCCCCAGCAACATGTAGAGAGCCATCCTGCAGTTGGTGCACAGGATAAGAAGCTGGAGGTGGAGGAGGAGTTTGTGATGTTCAGGGCCTTGGCTGACCCCCAAGAGGGAACACACGTTGCTTATTCCAGAGAGCCGCAGTCCTTGATGAGGGGAATGCTTCCTTCCCAGCACGGAGGGGTTGAGCATGAGGCCCTCTTGCTATCAAGTAGATGCTCAGAAAGCAGGCTGGCTAGTCTTTTTTTTTTTTTTTTTTTAAGTAATGGTTTTCCAGCCTAGGCAACAGAGTGAGACCCTTTCTCAGAAATAAATAAATAAATAAAATAAAGTAATGATTTAAAGGAGTGCTTGCCAAAGTACCTGTGATGAAGGACCCATTTTTAAATGTTTCAAAATGTTCAATCCATTACGGACAGATCATTTTGTAAAATACAACAAAAATAAATTATTAAAAAAATGAAATTAAAAACCAGATGTACAAAACATGAGCCAAATTTTTAAATTTTTATATATAACAGACATAAATATAAATCATCCTTCCAAAGTGCTATAAAGTTTCTAAATGCTTACTCTCAGTTTCTTATCACAGACCAGTAACCTCCAGAGGGCAGGCAGGAACCAGTCTGTGTACCATGCTTTGAGCAGGCTGGGTTTAAAGCGTGTACTTCAGGGTCAGTGAGACCTGGGTTCAAATCCTGCCTCTGCCACCTGCTGGCTGAGTGTCTGGCAACCTGACCTTTGTGAGTCTCAGTTTCCTCATCTGTGAAATAGGGAGAACAGCAGCTCATTGTGAAGAATGTGCAGTGACGCACATAAGGCTGTGGCCACCGTGCTTGGCACAGATCCCTCCTAGCTCATTGTGTTTCTGTTGGGCTCTGTGGGGTATAGTGGGTGGCCTGGGGAAGAGGAGCCAGTTGGATGTAGCTCCTGCTTCCAAGGGAGATAAGACATGAGCCTGGATGTGGCAGAAAGAGCCAGTGATTCCTGACATGAGAGAGGATCATGTAAAGGGCTCAAGGAGGGAAGAGTAAATTGTTTTCAGCTGGGGAGGTAGACTCTGAGTGGGGTCTTAAAGCAAGAGACGGTTCGGTAGGATGGGAAGAGGGAGTGTAAACTTCTGTAGTGGGGCCATCAGCTCCAGGCAGGAAATGGGGAAAGAACAGGCCAGTTTCAGGGAGAGGCTAGAAAAGCAGGCTGGGGTCAGACCAGAAGCTCAAGGGCTGTGAAGGGATTGGATTGTGATGGGGTCAGTACAGGGAGGCAGGAAGGGTTGTGCGGGAGTGACCTGCCTCAGCCTTGAGGGAGAAAGATCACCCAGGCATCATAGAGAAAATGTGTTGGCTGGAGGAGGGATGGGTGCCAGGAGACCATTGAGGTGTCCTAGCAGCAGCCCTCAGGGCGACCATGGGTGCCACTGCTGAGGCTCAGTGCACGGGATGACTCAGGTGTGGCTCCAGTGGCTCAGGGGGCTGACGCTGGGCAGAAGTGCCCAAGCACATCAGAGGCAGACTGTGACCCCACACCATGGCCCCCTGGGAGCCTGCTGGCTGCGGTTTACCCCACATCCCAGCCATCCCCAAAGCTCCCTGACAGCAGGAAAAATTCATAGCCATTGATTTTGTAATTAACAGTTTATCAATGCCATCGATACAGACCGGCTGATGGATTGCAAAGAAATTAATCTTGCAATGTTATTTTATTTCATTTTTGGTCGAAGGCAGCTGCCAATTTTGTCCTCCTTGGGGAGAGTCGGGGGAGGATGGAGAGGGCGGGGAGAGGGAGCTGGCAGGAGTCAGGAGCCCACATGGCAATGCCCAGCCATGTTAGGTACACACTCTGTAAGTGGCCGAGAGTGTAGGATTAGGGCCTTGCTTCATCTCCCACCTGATGACGAAGGAGTGCTCACTGCCTTGGTAGCAGGGAGCAGAAAAATGTGGAGGAGGCTTGGGTGTGGGGCCAGTGAAGACTCAGCCCTGCAAGGACACTCACCCCCAGCCTGAGTCCCCACAGGAATAACACTACCTGACATTGACCAGGTGCTGATCACGCTCTGGGTAATGTGCTGCTTCAGTCACCCTCACCACCACCCTGTGAGTCCTCACTCCTGTGTTTTACAGCCGGCTTAGACCCAGCTGTAACGTGGCCGTCAGCAGGTGCCTCCCTGCCGTGCTGGGATGTAGGTAAATTTTGTTTGAACCCCTAGGTCATGGCCTAAGTTCAAAACCTTTCCCAAGATTTTAGAGAACTCCCTATAGCTCCCTCCATCACCGTGCCTCATGCCGCCACCTTGACACAGTGCTCAGCCCCTATATCTGTGCCTGTATTCTGTGTCCTATAACCAGAATTTTGTCAGGTTAGCGATTGCACTGAAGACTTGGGGAGCTGGTGCCTGGCAGCGGCAGCTGCAGTGGTTGTCATGGTGATAGTAGTGATGGGGCTAGGGGCGGTGGTAGGGGTGATACCGCTACCAGGGCACTGACTTGTGACAAGTTCTGTTATAAACCCTTGACCTGTTTAACTCCTTTAAGCCCTTGAGGTAGGCATGGCTATTATCCCATTTTACAAGTGAGGAAAATGAGGCTCAGAGAAGTTAATAACTTGCCCAAAATCACACAGCCTGCAAGTAAGGGACACAGGATTCCAAGTCTGGCTCCAGGGTCTCTGCTGCCACCCCCTGGTGACCTCTTGAGAAATGTCCCCTGTAGACGCCAGTCTCTCCCTGGGTTTGAGTCCCAGCTCTGTCATTAGCTTCTGTGACCTCTCTGGGCCTCAGATTGGCTCTCTGTGAAGAGAGGGTTCTGAAGATACCCCTGCCTGCCTCCATGCTGCCTCCTGGACCCCAAGATGGCCCCCACACCAGGCAGCACTCCCTGGCCAAGCCTGCTAATGCTCGTCCTTGTGCCTGCAGATTCCATGTACATCGAGGATCTAGAGGCTGTCCAGAAGCTGCAGGACCTGCTGCACGAGGCACTGCAGGACTACGAGCTGAGCCAGCGCCATGAGGAGCCCTGGAGGACGGGCAAGCTGCTGCTGACACTGCCGCTGCTGCGGCAGACGGCCGCCAAGGCCGTGCAGCACTTCTATAGCGTCAAACTGCAGGGCAAAGTGCCCATGCACAAACTCTTCCTGGAGATGCTGGAGGCCAAGGTGTGATGGCCCCGCACACGGACCAATGCCCACCTACAGACAGACAAACGGACAGACCGAGGTGGAGACCTCCACAGCCACCAGCCTCCACCTTCAACCCCTGTATCATGGCTCTGAGCTGTCCCAGAGGCGGGGGTTTCTCACCTCCTGGCTGTGTGCAGACTCCCGGGTGCAGTGGGGTGGGGGACGGGGATGGGGGGGCAGGGGTGTGGGGCTCGACTGTAACTGGCTTTTTCTTTGGTATGTCTTTCCTTCTCCATGGACGGTGCGGAGGCCTGGGCCAGGGCTGACTCCCTTCAGGAGTGGAGGCCACTGGAGCAAGTGCCCTCTCCCCTCCACCGAGCCACCAAGAGGCAGCATGTGCATTTCCTAACTCCCTTGCCCCCTCCCCCATCTGTGGCCTGGGTGGGCACTGCTCAGGCTGGATACCACCTGGAGGTTTTCCTTCCGCAGAGGGCAGGTACGCAAGGGACAACAGTATCTTTCTTCCAGAGGTCCTACCTGCTCTGAGATCCTCTGGGGCCGGTCAAGAGGCCCCATACCTTCCACAGTTTCCACTCAGCTTTCAGCCAGGGGGTACCCACAGGAGAGCAGCGGCTAGAGCTCAAGTGCTTCCTGGGCACCCCACCCCTCGGGGCCTACCCCCCTGCCTGTCACCCACCGCGCCGGTGTCCACCTGTCCTCCTCCTCTTCTCCTCCCCCCGGGAGTCCCCCGCTACTTCCTGACCCTACCTCAGAGCTCACTCACCCAGTGGGTTCAGCCAGCCACAGCGACTCCAGGGGCTGTAGACAGGAACGCGCTGGCACAGAGAAGAGCGGGGACCACACCATCCTCCCAAGAACCCTCTCCCTCTTCCTGCCTTCCCCCTCTCCCTGAAGGGCAGGTCCAGGCCAAGTGAGCCTGTGAGAAGCTCAGGAGCCTGGCTCCATCCAAGAGCACCCCGGGGGGAGGATCAGGACAGGATGGACAGAGGCCCAGACTCATCTTTGCCAAGCACAGAAAGGCCGAGCAGCTGAGATAAGTAGGCAGGGGAGCCCCAAAGGGAGGGAACTCAGCGGGGTGGCCTGCCTCATCCTTCCTGGCTTCCCTTCCCTGCACTCAGCATCATGCCACAGGGCTAGTGTACCAGTGCCACAGGAGGGGTGCCCTCCTACCACACTTGGGCTACCAGAGGTTTGGTGTAGCTCCCCTGGGCACCGCGAGCACGCCAGCTCTCTGGCAGGACCCCTGCAGTCCCCCTGGCTGTGCCAGGTAACCAACCGTCTTGGTTTGTCCAGGACGTTTCTTTATCCCAGGAAACTCCTCTACCCCAGGCACACGGGGACAGTGGGTCACTCTATTTCTGTGGATGGCCGTGAAAGTTTTCACTAACTCAAGGGGCAGCCCTGAACACCCATTTGTGCTCACAGGTTGGCCAAGAGCAGCTTAGAGGATCTCCCAAGGATGAAAGAATGTCAAGCCATGATGGAAAATGCCCCTTCCAATCAGCTGCCTTCACAAGCAGGGATCAGAGCAACTCCCCGGGGATCCCCAATCCACGCCCTTCTAGTCCAACCCCCCTCAATGAGAGAGGCAGGCAGATCTCACCCAGCACTAGGACACCAGGAGGCCAGGTAACTTTCTGCAGCTTTTCCATAGAAGCCCTGGTCCCACCTCCTTGGCTCTACCCCAGGAACCTCCCGGCCTGGGCTTCTGGGCTGGGACGTGCTGAGGTCATCCCAGACAGGAGGGAGGGCTGGCTGAAATCCACAAACTGCAGAGCAGCTCTCTGATGGTGTCCCACACAGAAAATGTTAAGGATTTCAAGAGCCCTCCCAGACCAGTGATGTGTCCCTCCGGCTCCCCTTGCCTGTGGGGAATCGGGTCTGAGTCACTTGATGAGTAGGCACTGGAGCCGTTACCCAGGATGCTGCGGCCCTAGCCCTCCATGCAGCCCATCTTCCCTCATTTGGGTGGAGGCACACATTTGGGGCAAAGGCCCCTTCTTGGCATCAAGGAACACCAGCTACAAACCAAGTCTAGCACAGTGTTTAGAGGCTCTGCCCTGAGGTTCTGCTCCGGAGAAACCTTCACAGTAGAGACCTTGGGGTGTGTGCTTTGGGACTCCCTCAGTCTCTCACTGTGCTGTGTCCTTGCAGCGGGGCCGAGGTAGCACCCTGCTCTGTCACTTCCTGCTCAAGCTGGAGGACCCAGGCGGCAGGGCATCATGCCCAGCTGGCATCTGCTGTCTGTCTTTTCTAGGGAAAGCATCTCTGGCTCACCATGTAACATCTGGCTTGGAGCAAGTGGGTGTTCTGCACACCAGGCAGCTGCACCTCACTGGATCTAGTGTTGCTGCGAGTGACCTCACTTCAGAGCCCCTCTAGCAGAGTGGGGCGGAAGTCCTGATGGTTGGTGTCCATGAGGTGGAAGCTGCTTTTATACTTAAAACTCAGATCACAACAGGAAATGTGTCAGTAACAATGGAACTCCATCCAATGGGAAAGTTCCTGGTACTGAAGGGGTCCATTGGACACTCAGAAAAGAAGTTCAGGGGCCAACTTCTTAGCTGGAATCCTGGCCAGATGAGGACCCTCTCCGGGGAAGGGAGAGGACTGACTTAGTGGAAGGTGGTGAAGTGAGGAGAGTTTAGGGGAACCTTCCCCCAGTGGAACAGATCTCAAGTTTACCCTAAACCTGCCATTTCTGGAAAATCTGTAAAGAGGAAACAGCCTGTCTCAGCTGTACTCTCATGATACAGGTCATTTGAAATGAACCAAGAAATAAAACATGAAAATCCAACCATGGAGAAGGTGGTATGGCTGGGTTTTGTTTGGTCCCCTTGTCCTTATACGTTCTAAAGTTTCCAGACTGGCTTTGTCACTTTGTGAACTCGTCATGTGTGAAAACCAATCTTTGCATATAGGGAACTTCCTCGGGCCACACTTTAAGAACCAAGTAAGAGGCTCTCAAGACTCCAGCAGAGTCGGGAGGCCATGGCAGCGCCTTAGAGGAGCTGGAACCTGCACCCACCTGTGTCGGTGGGGGGGGCCTCCTTTCCCCATAGACTCTGCCCTCCCTCTGTGCAGATGGAAGTGGCAGGGGAGGGTGACCAGCTTGTGACAAGAAGACTGAAGGGTCCAGAGTCCATGCTCACGGAACAGCACCAAAGAAAAGCACTATGTGGAAAGATTGTTTTATTTTCTAATAATGATAATATGGCTGGAATGGCTTCTTAAGATGTATATATTTTTTAAAATGGCAGTTCCCCATTGCAGCATCACCTACTTGTATGTCTTTCTGCCTCTGTATATGTTCTCCCAGAAACCCCCATGTAAATCAAATGCCCTAGGATGCTTCCATCCTGGTCCCATGTATCTGGAATCTAATAAATAAGGAAAGGAACTATTGAGTTTCTTCACACATTGTCTTTCTGGGCTGACTGTCCCCCAGACAGCACTGCCCTTGGGTTTCAGGCTGAGGCTAGGAGAGGCCGTTGGGAGAGGCAACCCAGCCTTAGTGTTCCCTGGGAAGTCCCATGGTGTCATTTTAAAACATGTTCACCAGCAAAGCTCAGGAATGCAACTGGAGAAGTATGCTGCAGGTCTGAGAAGCTCCCTGTTGCTTTTATGCTTTTAATATTAATGGTAAGGCAATCGATTACTTTCATTAATGCCAGAGAAATGAGATATCAGATATATGTGAATGAAAACCAATTCATTACCTTAGGATTTTGAATTGCATCTGTGACACACACAACACCGGATAGCACAGCCCACATGTTATTCCAGGACACACTCAGGACCAGTGAGAAGCAGAGGGGAGGGCCTGAAAGAGATCAAAGAAGACATTTCAAGATGCCTTTTGTTTCAAGTAAAAGTTACCTTAGCTTATACTGGCTTACTGGATTTATATGTGAGTCCGGAAGTGGGGTAGGCATCAGGCAGGGTTTGATCCAGGGGTTTACAAAGTCAATAGGGTTATGGTTCAGCTTTTCCGATTCCCCCAGTTCTTCTGCGTGTTTGTTTCATCCTTATGCTGGCCTCTTTCCTGGTAGCAAGAAGGCTGCCAGTTTTTTGTTTCACACCTTGTGGGAGAGAGAAAATCTCTTTCTGCAACCATGGAAAATGTCTGAACTTCTTTCTGAACTCCACCGGGTTTTGTATCTATCCCTTAGTGAATCCCCATGACCAGCCTGGGGTAGAATCAGTTCCACTCAATGGCCTAGCTGCCACACTGTGGGAAAGGAGTAGGTTGGAAGTCTAGAAGTCTAGAAGACAGCCAACCATAATGCCCACAGAACCCACATACGTGAACAGCTCAGGGTCTGGTCAACTTTCAGTGAGAGGTTTGTGAGTCTCCTGCAGCTCTTGGAAGATAAGAACCACATGGTTATCTTTGCATTTAACACCTTCATGCATGATATGCATTATGTACTTGTGGGAATGAAAGTACTCAATTTGTAGATTCTTTTTAGGTAATTCACCTTAAAAGAATGCACACACGGCTGCTATTTATGTTGCTATCTTAAGAAAAAAGTAATTAGGAAAGAAAGTCAACCATAATATCACGTAATGCAGTCAAAATGAAAATCTTTATTTGATTATCTGTATATTAGGATATTCTGTGCTACCTTTTCCATTTATACATGTAATTGTGATCAGACCAACTAATAGCTCATATTTTCAAAGACCTAACCCTCATCCATACCTCCATCTCCATTCATTCTCTAGTCTCTCTCTTTTTTTTTTTTTTTTTTTGTTAGCAAAAAAGTGAAGCTTCAAAGAAAGGGGAAAAATTCAACTAATATTCATTCATTCAACAAATATTTGCTGAGGATCTACCCATTCCAGGCCCTATCCTGGGCATGGAGACTATCTCCATAAAGAGAACAAACAAGGCCGAGCACGGTGGCTCACACCTGTAATCCCAGCACTTTGGGAGGCCTAGGCGGGTGGATCACGAGGTCAAGAGTTTAAGACCAACCTGGCCAATATGGTGAAAACCCGTCTCTACTAAAAATACAAAAATTAGCCAGGCATGGTGGCACGCATCTGTAGGCCCAGCTACTCGGGAGGCTCAGGCAGGAGAATCGCTTGAACCCAGAAGGCGGAGGTTGCAGTGAGCTGAGATCAAACCACTGCACTCCAGCCTGGGCGACAGAGTGAGACTCCACCTCAAAAAAAAGAGAAACAAGAACAAACAAAATCCATCTTCATTCTTCATGGAGCAGACAGTCTACTGGGAGGAAGAGAGAGAAAATAAGCACAGCAAATAACCAAATTATATAGTTTGTTAGAATGTATATAGTGTAAGTGAGTTGGGGGGAAGCAAGGTATGGGTGATCAGAAATGGGTAGGAGGCTACAAGTTTTAAGGGAGTGGTCAGAGCAGTCTCAATGAGGATGTTACGTTCAACAATAAAAGTTAAAGAAAGTGAGGATTCTGTGGGTGTATGGAGGGAAAGCTCTTCATGCAGAGAGAGCAGCCAGGGCAAAGGCCCTGGGGTAAGACTATGCTTGGCATATTCAGCAAGCTTCAAGGAAAGGAGTGTGGGCGAAATGGAATGGGGGAGGCCCTGGGGAACAAGGGGCACAAGGCCATAGTAAGTGTGGCTCTCAGGCTAAGAGATTACATGAGGAACCAGTGGAAGCGTCTGAATACAGGGGTGACACGATCACACATTTTAATAGGACTTTCAGTTGTTTTGTGGTTTGCTGGGCTGTTGTTTCTTTGAAAGTGTCTGGCTGGGCATCGAACGTGGCATTGGGGTTTTATCCGGGTCATGTATTTAAATAGTGGTCTTGAGAATGGGGCCGGGGTGGAAGTACATGGGACAGGTGTGTCATCCTCAAGTCTTCCTGGGCCACCAGAGGCACCTGGCTGGCCCCACCTTTGTGCCCACCCCATCTTAGTTTTGCCCCAAACTTGTCATGGGGGCTTTGGTTGTCCCTCTCCTCTTTTGGCTGCTGTGTTAATAACACGCTCCAAGAGGACAGGGTGGAAGCAGGAAGAACAGCTAGAAGACCACTGGTGAGGTGACTGTGGCTTGGAGCAGGGATGTTTCAGAGCAGGTGTTAAGACGCACTGGGGGCTGGCCACAGTGGCTCATGCCTGTAATCCTAGCACCTTGGGATGTCAAGGTGAGTGGGTCACTTTGAGCTCAGGAGTTGGAGACCTAAGCAACATGGTGAAACCCTGTCTCTACAAAAAAACACAAAAATGAGCTGGCATGATGGCTTGCACCTGTGGTCCCAGCAGCTCGAGAGTCTGAAGATGGAGGATAGCTTGAGCTGGGAAGCGGAGGTTGCAGTGAGCCGAGATCGCATCACCGCACTCCACCCTGGGTGACGCGGCAAGACTGTCTCAAAAAAATAAATAAAAATAAAAATAAAAGAAATGCTTAGGTTCTAGATCTACTTTGAAGCCACCAGATTTGCTGATAAATTGAATGTGGAATGTGAGAGAAAGAAAGGAGATGTGGGTAATTCCAAAGATTTCGGCCGCAGAAACTGGAAGGAGTAAGGTTGTTATCCACTGAGATGGGAAAGACTGAGGGAGGGCAAGCTTGGGGACTGGGTGGGAGAATCAGTCGTGTTAAGGGTGAGATGCTGTCACAGGTCCAGGGGAGACGTATCGCCAAAAAGGCCTTAGACCATAGGACCAGCTAAACAGGAAACAGGAAATGTGCTTCCCCCAATAGCAGATGTAGCACTGGTGGTCTTTCCCAGCTGAGAATTCCTTCTCACACCCAGCCAACCCCTCCATTGTTCTCTACCTGTCCTCACAGGCAATAAAGTAAATTAATCCGGTGAACATAGATTTGTGGAGTAGAAGGAGCTTAGCGATCACCTTTTATGTCATTATTTGTCAGCTGAGCAAAATAACCCAAAAGGGAGCTTCTGGGGAAAAGACCCTTGCTGGAAGAATCAGAACTATAACTTCACCCTTGATTTTTCAAAAACAGTATGGGGTGCTGAAAAGCTCGCTGGACTGGCAAGTACACAACTGCTTGACTAGATTTAGGCCAGGAGTCCACAAATGGGGGCAATTTTCCCCCCAGGGGACATTTTGCAATGTCTGGAGACATCTTTTGTTGTCACACTGAGCATAGCTACAGGGGTGGAGGCCAGGGATGCTGCCAGACATCCTACAGGGCACAGGACAGCCCCCCACTGAAAGAATTATCTCACCCCAGATGTCAGTGGTGCTGAAGTTGAGAAACCCTGATTTAGATGTACTCTGGGCATTATCAAGGAAAAACTGGAAGCCATTCTTCTAGAAGGGCCCCTGTGTTCCACCCAGAGTTCCAGGAAACAGTGTGGGGGCGTCAACTCCTGTTACCAAGTTCTTCCCCCCAGTGCCTTCTGCACCCCACCTGGCGTCACTCTACCCTGACACTTCTATCAGAGGCAAACATCCTACACACTGCATGAGCAGCTTCTGTTCAGACTCAGCCCTCAGGTCCAACCAAGCTCTTCCCCCCAGTGCCATCTGCACCCCATCTGGCCTCACTCTACTCTGACACTTCTATCAGGGGCAAACATCCCATGCTCTGCATGGACAGTTTCTGTTCAGACTCAGCCTTCAGGTCCAAGGAGAGATTGCTCTGGTCCTGCGGTCTGCCCCAGCCTGGTTCCTGTCTATGTCAACTTTTTGTTTTGTGAAGCCAGGCAGCACCTGTGGCTTCAGGTCTCAAAGAGGTGGAGACCCTTCTTGGCAGACCTAAGAGGCCCCCGTTGAAGTGTGCTAAGAACAAAGGTGACTCCACATCCTCTTCTTCCTCTCCCCAAGTGGCCCCAGTCCCTGATTGTCTGTCCCTACACTTCTGGTCTACCTCTGGGTTTTCTCTCATTACTTCCTCCCCTTGCCTGGGATGGGCAGAGGCTCCTGGGGTTGGCCATTTGAAGTCCAGCATCTGATGGTCAGAAGTGAAGCCTTCTCTGCAGAATGGTGGGGGAGAAGAACTAAGAGACTTTTGAGACCTTTTCTCCTACTTACTTTTTCCAGGCCATTGATCTCACTTCTACAGACATCTCTCCCTTATCAGCCCAAATGTCCCACCCACCTATGCAAAGATCCCATTGTCAGCTGTCACAAACCAGGACCAAGCCACAAGGCACCAGGGCTTTCACTTGGGTACTGAAGAGTCTCTTCCACTTCCCTTGTGGTGGAGAAGGACAGGCAGAGCTTTCCATCCCCTCCTCCCACAGGCAGACAGGACAAGCTTGGAGCAAGACTAATACAGGGGTGGGCAAAAAGGAGGGGGCCAACCAGGTGCCTGGGCTGGCCCAGGAACACTTGAGAACAGCCCACCTGTCATGTGGTCTGTACTTCCACCCCACCCCTTTTTTTCTTTTGCTTTTTCTTTGAGACAGAGTCTTTCTCTGTTGTCCAGGCTGGAGTGCAGTGGCACAATCTTGGCTCACTGCAACCCCCGCTTCCTAGGTTCAAGCAATTCTCCTGCCTCAGCCTCCCAAGTAGCTGGGATTACAGGCGCCTGCCACCATGTCCAGTTAATTTTTGTATTTTTAGTAGAGATGGGTTTCACTATGTTGGCCAGGCTGGTCTCGAACTCCTGACCTCAAGCAATCCACCCGCCTCAGCCTCCCAAAGTGCTGGGATTACAGGCGTGAGTCACCGCACCCAGCTATCAACCCCTTTCTTCAGATTATCACACTGATGGACTGCCCACTGCACCAAGAGGGCAGGACAACCTATCAACCTCATTCTTAAGATCCCTATTTAATACATGTCCCAGGTGAAACCCCAATGCCATGTTTAATGCCCAGCCAGTCACTTGCAAAGAAACAACAACCCAGCAAACCCCAAAACAACTGAAAGTGCCACAAGTCTTTACTCCCCTCTTCTCATCCCTCCCTCACTGATCCATCCCTGATCCAGACTGCGTAGCCACTTAAACATTTTCCCATTTTCCTGCACAGGTTAAAGGGCTAGAGGCTGATCCAGTGAGCAAAATCTCTTCTTCAGCAGAGGATATGGGGCGGGAGTGATGGAGGAAGACTGGAAACCTCACCACCTATGTCGTTTATCTTACCTCAGTTGCAAATTCACTTCACACTCCAAGAACAGAAACTGTGAACCTGAGAGAGCTGCCCTTGCCTGCCCCAAGGCTTTGCTGTGTGCATTGTCCTTCTACTGAACCAGGATGTGCCCCTCTGGGACCCACCTCCAGGCTCAAAGGTTGTAGCAGTTGTTTTATTTATTCATTTATTTTTATTTTTTATTTTTTTGAGACCGAGTCTCGCTCTGTCACCCAGGCTGGAGTACAGTGGCGCGATCTTGGCTCACTGCAAGCTCTGCCTCTGGGGTTCACGCCATTGTCCTGCCTCAGCCTCCCGAGTAGCCGGGACTACAGGCGCCCGCCACCATGCCTGGCTAATTTTTTTGTATTTTTAGTAGAGACAGCGTTTCACCGTATTAGCCAGGATGGTCTCGATCTCCAGACCTCGTGATCCGCCTGCCTCGGCCTCCCAAAGTGCTGGGATTACAGGCGTGAGCCACCACGCCTGGCCAAGCAGTTGTTTTAAGTCTTGTTTCAGCAAGCACCCAGCAAGGCAAGGCCTTTCCAACCTAAGGTGTGCCCTCTCCCCTCCAATGCTCCTAAATTTTTCCAGTTAATTCTACCAGAGCAGTCTCTCCTTGGACCTGAAGGCTGAGTCTGAACAGAAACTGTCCATGCAGAGCATGGGATGTTTGCCCCAGGTGGCATTGGGGGGAAGAGCTTGATAACAGGAGTTGATGCCCCCACACTGTGCTTCCTGGACCTCTAGGTGGAACACAGGGGCCCTTCTAGAAGAATGGCTTCCAGTGTTTCCTTGACATTTGACTCATTATCTATTTCTCATTCATTCATCATCTGGCACAGGGCTAGATTTGCGGGGTATGGTGGGAGCTCAGAGTCCAGCAGGGAAGGTAAACATTGAACTAGTGGTTCACGAGTGTATTTTATTACAGGAGACTTTTAGCAATATAAGAGAGACTTTAATGGAGGCAGGCACCAACCTGGCCTTTAGTGGTAGGGATGGTGAAGAACAGTTGTCCAAGGACATCAGCCCTGGGGCAGCAGGTTGAGGCCAAGTCCTGAAGGAGTGGAGTTAACCAGGTGAGGGAGGGAACAGTGTTTCAGGAAGAAAGAAGAGAAATGCTGTCCAGGGGAGAAAGAGAGAGAGAGAGGCTGCTCTGCTCCATGCCTGCCCAACAAACTGGAAGAAGACCACCTGATTGGTTGAGCGGGGGCAGAGGATGAGGGAGAAAAGAGAAGGCTGGAAATTGCAAGGGCCAGATCATTGAGGACACTGCTCAACATGGCAAGAGCAGTGGGAAATCCTGCGGAGTTTCAAGCAGGGGAGTGACAGGGTCAGATCTGTCTCCCCTACCTGGAGACAGTGGGTCAAGCGTTTTGTTGTCCATGGACTGGCTATGGGATGAAACATGGGTTTCAGATTCAGACTAGCTGAGGCCCAGAAGTCTGCCCTGCCACTCACTGGCTGCATGGCCACGGGCCAGCCACCTCCGCTCCCAATCTGTGCAATGCAGCTGATCACGCCAAGGGAGGATGCTAATGGGCAGCATTAGTGGATGCTCCCATATCCCAGACACTTCACACATATTAGGCCCTTCATTCCTCACAATGAGTGTCCACTGTAAATGCCACTGCCTTCATTTTATGGGAGACCAACGCTCAGAAAGGTTATTCTACTTGCTTGAGGTTACAGAGGTCAGATTTGAATCCAGATCTGTATGAGTTCAATTAATGTCTCTTCTCCTAACCACCATGTCATATTTCAGACTATGCAATTGTTGTCTAAAAGACTGGGTGCATAGTAGGCACTTAACAAGTATTTGCTCCCCACCAACCCTCCTTTTACTGTAAGATACCCATGGCCTCACGGGAGCCTCCCCCAGCTACAGATGTCTGCCCCTCATCCCTGCCAGGCACAGCTTGTCCCCAGCCCAGGTCAGCTTACTAACATCTCCATCAGGGCAGGAAGGGAGAGAGGAGACGCAAGCATGCATTTGGAGACTTCTGCGCCGAGCAGCTCCCGTGCTCTGTGACAGTGGAGCCACCAGAGGAGGCACTGCTCTGCCAGTTTGCTGGTTAAGTGACTTTACCCAAAGACATGCCCTGCAGAAGTAACTGAGCTGAGATGATGCTGCTGCCTTCAGACTACATTACAGGGAACAAAAATCCTCCTACCTTATTCCTTTCCACGTGTCTTTGGAGAAAAAAATTCAGCCGAACCTTAGGCACTTATATTATGGTGACATTTTTATCATCATCCTAGAGGTCCCTGGAGTGAAGGCTCAGACTTACTAAGAGGAAAAAGTCTTAACTGTACGGAATGAGAAGTCAGAGCTTAGGCAGAAGGAATCCCATATTCCCAGACAGAACGCAGAAGGATCTTAGGAGGCAACGCCTGGCTTGCACCGTGGGACATGGAGACGTTTGCAGGGCAGGAATGTTTGGAGCAGATGTTCTGTGTCTCACAAACCATGCCTTATAGGGGGCTTGTCCTGGCTAAGATTGCTCTCCTATCCTAGTCACGGGTGTCCTGCAGGATGGGGAATGGGAAGGAGACACCAGTGTCAGGTACAGAGGAAAGCCTGGGTGGTCCTTGCCTGGTCTTGGCCAGGGACCTGTGACTTCCTTTATTCTATGTCTCAGGCTACCCTCTGCTTCACATTGAGGTCACTAGGTGGGGGGAAGCAGGGACAGGAGGCCAACAGAGGGGAGGGCCTCAGGGCAGATGTGGAAACTGCTGGCCAAAAGGAAAGACAATGTGATTCAGAGGAACTGTTCCTGGAAGGAGACAAAGCTCCCCCAGCTTCCTCTGGAAATTGCTTTGTTTAAAATGCAAAGTGCGAATGTGTTTTGATGACATCTCAGCATCCATCACCCTATGCAAATGCTGATCCTGGGGGAGAGGAGCCCCTGTAAGTCACTCCAGTCCCCTAATGGAGTGTGTGTGGGTGATGACAGGCCAAGGGAGCCAGCGGCCTAGGGGCAGGCAACAGCTCACCACCCAAGAGAGGCTTGATAAGGGCTGAAGCGGGAGGGAGTCCAGCCCTGGGGGGGTCCACACCTGCATCATCCCCAGGCTAGCAGCTCTTGGATGCAGGATGCCAGCTGCTGCTGTAGGTGACTGAGGACAGAGCTCTAAACAAGTTGCTGATAGACCTAGTTGCCTCAGTTGCAAATTCACTTCACACTCAAATGGACAGTGAATTAACAGCCCTTCCCCTGAGCAGGAGGATGCCCCTTACCTGAACACTCTGCAACTGGGAAAAAGGTGAAATCGATTGCCTGACTGGGAGTGGGGCTCTTCAACCCAAGCTGCTATTTGAGATCTCAACTCATCCCCATGCAACAGCCTTCCACCTGTGTCCCAGACTCGGCTTGGACACCTTCAGTGACAAAAACTCATTGTCCTGGGAGGGTGTCCAGATAAAATACAAGATGCCCAGTTAAATTTGAATTTCAGATAAACAATGAATAATGTTTTAGTATAAATATGTCCCAAATATAGTATGGGATGATTTATTGTTTATCTGAAATTCAAATTTAACTGAGTGTCCTGTTTTTTTGTTTTGTTTTGTTTTTTGCTAAATCTGGCCAACAATACACCCTGATCAATCCATTCCCATTTTTTTGTATATGTCTAATCATCAAAAAATGGATTGGGTCCACTTCTCTGCCTTTCATATCTTCCCATCTTACTCCATCCTCCATCCTGGTCCTGCTTTCTGGGCCATATGAGGCAAGCTGTACCCTTCTACCCACAACTCTTTGGGAATGGAAACAGACTCTCAGCTACTCGCAGGTTCTCTGATTCTGAGCTCTCAAACTGTCCTCTGGTTGCTTCCTGTGTATCAACTTTAGGTTGGATTCATGAGCCTGAGACAGAATTGAATAACTTGGCAAGTCAGGTAGTAATCTCTTCCAGAGGCTACATCTTTGGTGGTGAGGGGCGCTTAGGGTGGGCCAATACAACATGCTCACAACCACCCCACCCACACCCACCCATCCCTGCCAAACACACCTATAATTTTCTAGGACTTGACTGGAAAATGTCATGAAGGACTAGAAGCTAATCCTGTCAGTAAAATCTCCTCTTTAGCAGAGAATGTGGGTTGGAGGGCATAGAAGAAGATTGAAAACCTTACCACCTATATATTTTATTTTGCCTCAATTGCAAATTCACTTCACACTCAAAGAACAGAAATCACCCGGACTTCAAGAGAGTTGTCATTCTACAGAACCAGGACATGCCAGAAAGTTCCATGAATGCTACAAAATGTCAATGCAGAGGAATTAATTAGGCAGAACAGTGCTTTTTGCACTTGAGTACCGATCCACGATTAGGTCTTCTGCCAACCCAGAGTACAGGTGAGTGCGGTCCTGATTTTCAGGTAGCCCGCAGAACCTTCTCCTAAGCTCTGTGCAGCCGTCTCCACAGAAGTAGCTGTGGGGACGTCTTCAGTGTGCTAAGCATCGGCATGGAGCTGCCTTCAAAGGCACAGCTGCAGGTGAGGGTACGTCTCTGAAGACCATATTAAGCCACCAGTCGCAACTTACATGGAAATTGCTACCTCTCCCCAGTAATGAATTAATAACCCAACCAATAGGAAGAAGATAATTTTCAAGCAATTCTCAGTTGCAGACACAAATTTTAAGGGCTCCATCCATTTACAATACGGATAACTTCATGCATCAAAATATATAAGGAGCCAAATGCCAGTGGGGTAAGGAAGGGTTTTCTCATCAGCATTCTCTTGTGTTTCAGGTGTAGGTCTTGCCTTTCCAGGGATAGTGGCCACATAGTTCGCCGTGTTCCCCGCAGTTATTCCAGTACATGGTAGGTTCCCAATTTCCTGAGGACGTACAAAGATGAGACTTTGTTTACCAGTTTCCTTTATTTTGATCTGTTATCCCATCTTTCCAAGTTTTATACTTTTGGTATGTTTGTTGATCACGGTGATGGTGATTGCTCTCAACACAATGTCTACTTCTCCTCGACGGTCAAGGAGGGAAATAGACAGAGCCCAGAGGTGGCCAGTCATGGTTCCTCAAGACCTGCCAAGAAGAGTGCAGGCCACCAGGTAAGTCCCGAGTGTCCTCTGGAGGGGGCCATGCTGCTGACCCACCTCAGCCCTTCTTCTGCTCCCCCAATCCCTCAATAGCCCACTCCAGTTTATTGCATCAGCCCTCACACCCTCAGTGCCACCTAAGACTTTACCACCAAGACCACAACTCTGGAATCTTCCATATGGAATAAATGCATGCTGATCAAATGAATAGATCAGTAAACCTCCTGTCTCTTTCCATTTCTTGGCCATACCAGCAGCGGAAAAACCTGCTTTTATTCCTACAGTTCTCAGTCTGCCAGGGGTTCAGTTTGGGCCCTCCGGTAGGCAGATGCTGAGATGGAGTTAGGAAGACGTTTATTGGGGGAGGGTGTAGTGGGTTGAATAATGTCCCCCAAAATTCACATCCACCCAGAATTTCTAATGTAACTTTATTTGGAAATAGAGTCTTTGCAGGTATAATTGATTAAAGATCTCAAGATGAAGTCATCCTAGATTTAAATCATCCACATGGAGCTGCCTTCAAAGGCACAGCTGCAGGCGAGGGTACATTTCTAAATCCCAGGACTAGTGTCCTTGTAAGAAGAGAAGACACGGAGAGACACACAGAGAAGGAGATGTGAAGATGGAGGCAGAGACTGGAGTGATACAGCTCCAAGCCAAGGATCACCAGCCATTTCAAGAAGCTAGGCAAGAAGCATGGAATCAATTCTGCTTCCGAACCTCCAGAAGGAACCAATCTTGTCAACATTTTGATTTTGAACTTCTGGCCTCCTGAACTGTGAGAGAATAGGTTTCTATTCTATGATTTGAAACCACTCAGGGTGTGGTAATTTGTTACAAAGCCCTGGGAAGCGAACACAGGAAGTAACGCCTGCAAAAGCAGATTGGACAGGGAGAGTGTCAGGCTGTGGCCCAGTCTTTCCCAGGTCAATTCTGCTTCTTCCCTTTTACCATTCACTGGTTAACCCCCTACCCCCGACTCCCAACTCCAATAAAATTCTTGCTCTGCCAACTCTATCTCAGCCTATGATTGCTACAAAACCTCTATTGACACAGTCTTGGCTGCCTCAGTACGGAGCTCTGGGCAAACCCTGTCCATCAGGGGCAGCCCTCCCTCTGTCTCGACCCTGCCTCACCCATCCCGGCCCCAGCTTTGCTCCACTGTGACTTCCTCTCTCTTGTAGCTCCAGCCTTGCCATTCCACTGGCTCCTTCCCTCTCACCTTCAAACCAGCTCAAATACAGTAGCTCCTCTTCCAGCTGTGACTTCCTCTCTTTCTGTCCTCAGCCATGTTTTTTTTTCCCCAAGATATTTGTTGTTTCTGTTGTCTTCTTCCCCACTCACTCCTCATCCAGGCCTCTGTCTTCCTCCATCCTCCACCCAGCTGCCCTGCTCTTTCAAAGGCCCTCTACGCTCCCTTTCCCAGCCTTTCCTGACGTGCGGTTCTCTCTGGGCGTGACTCTGTTTTGTGTTTTATGCCCTCTGCCTAGGACACTATAGTTGTTTCTTTGCTGGAAGACAGGTTCCTTGAAGGCAAGAACTTGTCTTATTGATGTTTTTTTTTGTTTGTTTTACCACCCAAAGCCTCAAGCACAGTACTTTGCCCAGATGAACTGCTCAGCAAATGTTTAAGAGTTGAGTTCAACAGGGGTATCCCTTGGGCTTCTGGGAACCAATAGGGGAGAGTTTCCTCTGGGGTACACACAAGAGGGCTCCTCTCAGTGGCAGGGGGATCAGGAAAATAGGGAGATTGGATTGAATGTGGGAGTTGGGAGAGAGTGAGAAGGAAGAGGGAACAGGCGGAGGGTGCCAGCTCTTACAAGAGGAAGATAAATGATAACAGCGCTGGGAACAAAACCAAACATCCTTCATGTTGTCAGAGCAATGAAGCCAGCACATTGCAAGTCATGGGCCCCAGACAGTGCCTTACTTTTGGAAAAGGCTTGGGTTCTTAGTCCCCTTCTGCTCTCAGTGAACAGCACAATTCATCTTCCTTGGGGTGTCTCCTGAAACTGTGGGTAGATGGTACCCTGGGGTTGGCTAGAGGGAGGGGAGTCAACATGAGCCAGCTGTCCTTCTCAACGTCCCCTCTCTGGGCCAACAGTGGTCTTGTGTGACTCCCTGGGTCCCTTCTGTGTCCCGGGTCAACCAGACAGGGCTGGCTTCCATGTACATTTAGCAGGTTTTGTCCCACCCTCTTTCATAGAGCACTCAAATATTAATGCTGCTCTAAGAGGAAGCAAACTGAAACACACCGGCAGGGGGTGCTGAGAAGATCACAGAGACTTAGCTGTTGCATAATTTCTGGCTTTGAATGCAGATAGAGCATGAAGAAGAAGCCCTGCTCTGAGAGTCAGGGAACCCGCCTGAATTTGGGGCTCTGCTTTGCCACTGAAGAGGCAAGGAGCCAAGTCAGTCACTTAACCTCTCTGGGTCCTAATCCCTAACTTAATGTTAGGAATGTCCTAATCCCTAACTTAATGGGTTGACCAAATAGACTTCAAGTTACCTTCTAATTTTTTCACTCTGTTATTTCTTTTTTTTTTGAGAGTGAGTCTCACTCTGTCGTCTCACTGCAACCTCCACCTCCCAGGTTCAAACGATCCTCCTGCCTCAGCCTCCCGAGTAGCTGAGCTTACAGGCATGAGCCACCAGGCCCAGCTAATTTTTGTATTTTTAGTAGAGACGGGGTTTCGCCATGTTGGCCAGGCAGGTCTCGAATTCCTGAGCTCAAGTGATCCGCCTGCCTCCGCCTCCCAAAATGCTGGGATTACAGGCCTGAGCCACGGTGCTCGGCCCACTCTTATTCTTTATGCAACTCAGCATGTACATCTGTGGTTTTCCTGAGGGCAGCATCCCTTTCCTTCCTTAGGATAACAGCACTCACTTCTCTCTTCCCTTTCCACTTGGTGGCAAAGAGGCTGCCAATCATGCTGCTCCCCACACACATGGGGTGGGGCTAGGACGCAAACTCTGCCAAACAGACTCAGGAAGAGGGTCACATGATGGCAGCTCCTTAAAGGACCTGCTGTGGTTCTGGCTACCTAGCTACCCAGGTTCCTGCCCTTTCTAAGGTCAAATTGTTCATCTCTCTAATAAAATCCCCTTTCCTCCAGCATGAATGCCTGGTGCTTGTCATTAATGACCTTGATAGCTTTCTGTTAGCATCGTGAATCCAGAAAGTGTCTCTAGACAATGCGAGAGGCTTGTCGGCCAAGCTACCTCCCAGCTGGGAGGCTTTTAGTAGAAAAACAGGGACTAGTATGGTGGAGCTTCACTGCCTGTTTTCTGTGAGAAAAAGACACGTGTCCAGAGAGTGGGGATCCCTTGGAGAATTCTGAGAACCCTGAGGTCCCCTGAGAACATGCCATGTACGTCAGCGATTCCCAGCATTTCACACCAAGTGAATTCCTCTGTGCCCACGCCCAGACATGTGAGGCACCTGTAACCTGAATGATGCTCCCCATCCCAGCGTGGGGAGCAGCAGGCAGATAGGTCCGCAGTTCACATAACCTCCGTAACTGCCCGTGATCCAACGCTGTTTGTCCAACAGTATTTAACAAGTCAGTAAGGATATAGCCATTGGGTGCCCTCCATGGGCTTATATAGCAGCCCTTGTCCACAAGGGACCCTTAACGAGTGTGTTGTTGAATGTCTGTACCCTTGGGGAGCTGGTAATAAAAGAACTTGAACAAGACAGGAGGTCAGGGCTTTACCTGTGCTAAAAGGATTTGGGTATAAAAATGATGAAGGGAGGGGCTGGGCGCAGTGGCTCATGCCCATAATCCCAGCACTTTGGGAGGCTGAGGCGGGTGGATCACGAGGTCAGGAGACCAACCTGGCCAATATGGTGAAACCCCGTCTCTACCAAAAATACAAAAATTAGCTGGGCGTGGTGGCACACACCTGTAGTCTCAGCTACTCAGGAGGTTGAGGCAGAAGAATTACTTGAACTCATGAGGCAGAGGTTGCAGTGATCGCGCCACTGTACTTCAGCCGGGGTGACAGAGCAAGATTCCAACTCAAAAAAAAAAAAAAATTCCCTAACATATTCAAATATATGATATCAGTTATTTTGCTTAGGAAGAGATTAAAGTAGGCACATAAGGTTAAAAAGTGAGTTCGTTTAGAGATCGTGCCATGCACTCCAGCCTGGGTGACAGAGTGAGACTCCGTCTCAATAAAAAAAAAAAAAAGTGAGTTCGTTTAAAGAAAGATATTACATAAATAACAATACAGGTGAGACACGGAATTGGTGAACTTCATGACTGTGAGGCTGGAATAAGTGAAGTTGAGTAGCACTTGTGTAAGAGAAACCTAGAGGTCCTCCCCACCCTCCCCCCAGCCACTTGGTCCTTCTTCAGTATACTGAGGTGAGGAACATGTCTTGAGACTATGAGCTCCTCCAGGCACGGGCTGGGTTTTGTTTGTGTTGAATCCTCTGTGTCTAATGCAGAGCCAGCAAATAGGAAGTACTGACAGCTTGAATGATAGCTTTATGCCCTGCCTTGTTCTAGAAAATAATTAAAGCAGTCAACATGGAGCTGACTTGCACAGAAACAAAGCATGACACAAGTTCAGGCCTGTCTTTCACAACATGCTCATCCTGTCCAACGGATCAATCTGTCTACTTGATAGGTAGCTTAATACCACCCCCTCTGTCTACTGGCATTCCTCGCCATTGCCCTGCCTGGGTCAGACCACAGATATCTCTCACCTGAATTACTGTCTGCCACAATCTACTAACTGTTCTCCCCATCTCCAGTCTTGCCCCATCTAAGTGATTTTTTTTTCATGCAACAGCCAATGGGTGGCTTCCAAAATGTGGCTCAAGCCCCTGATGGCTTCCCACTGCAAACACAGTCTTTAGAATGACAGGTAAGGCCTTTTGTGACCTAGCCTCTTCCTACCTCTCCAGCATCCTCTCTTAGCAATTGCATTCCCCATCCTGCATGCCAGCCATGTTTTATTCTTTTCTGAAAGTATCTTGCCTCCATGCCTTTGCACATGTCATTCTCTCTGCTTGGAATGCCCATCCCTTTCTTCTTCTGCCTCACTCCTCCTCAATCCCCAGGATCCATTCAAGCATCACCACCTCCAAGAAGCTGGACCAGACTTCTCAGTTGTTCCCATAGCACCTGCTTTTGCTTAGTCATGGCACTTACAATGATGGATCCCAATTGTTTGTTTACTCGTCTACCTGCTACATGAATCCTTAAGCTCTTTAGGGCCAGGGGCTATAGCTTGTTGATCTTTGTTCTCCAGTACCCAACCCAGTGACAAACTAACTATAGGCCCCTAGCAAGTGTTTGACAATTGAGTAGCCGATGGCTACAGGCTTGGGAAAGCTCATGACAAATGGGCTTGGGGGCCTCCTGTGGAAACTCTTAACCTCATTAGTGCTGTTCAAAATATTTCTAACTTCTCACCTGGTGGGCATGTGGTAGGACTGCCTGCCCTGGACACCCTGTGGTTGGGTGGGACAATGTGGTCGTTCTGGTCACTGAGTTATGAGTGGATGTAGCAAGTGTCACTTCGAGGCTGAAGCATTTAATTAATTACCAGAGCTCTCTGTCCCGCTCTGTCCCTCTGCTTTCACAACGTGCGAGAATCCAGATGGTGGAAGCTCAGTCAAATGGGGTCTTAGAGTGACAACAACACTTAGTAGAGCCTCCAGCTTGCCAGTGAATGACATTTAGGATAAATGAGAAATAAACCCTGTTATAATAAGCCTCTGATTCTTAACTAGTACAACCTAGGCTGTCTCAACTGACACACCCACCCAGTCCATAGGGTTCCAAGTGCTTAGTCTAAATTATATTCTATTTCTTTTCCCTCATTCTGGTTCAGTTCACTGCCCATGCTGACCCCAACCTGACAAGTTCTCCTCCCACCCAGAAGAAATAAGGCAGGGAGGGAGGGAGCGAGGGAAGAAGGAAGCGAGTGAGGGAGGGAGGGAGGGATGAAAGGAGGGATGAAGGAAGGAAGGAAGGAAGGGGGAGGGAGGGAGGGAGTTGGGAGGGAGGCCATCACACCAGTAACCAGGAACACTGTCCAGTCAATAGTCACTAGAGAAATGCTTTCAAGAACCACGAAATTCATAGTAAGTTCACCACCATGAAGGCAAACCAGCCCTCCCTCAGACAGCAAAGTGTGGTGGGACCCGGGGGGAGGGTGGGGGACTAGGTATTTTTTCCTCTCTGTCTTCTATAGAACCAGTTATTTGGGACTTCTAAAACTTGCAAGGCCTTTACCAACTAAATCCGACCCCTCTTACCCCTTGCTTTATTCCTAATTTGTGTGTTCCAAGATACCTTATATAGGTAGGTAGGTATATATACCCCATGTGGGGAGGGAGTCACACCTCACACAATGCCACACCTGGGCCACCTGCCAGCCTCCCTTCCACAGCAACGGTCCATACCACTCACAGTTCACAAAATGTACTCTCTGCTAATCCCCACCACAACCTTGCCAAGGGGTGTCTGCATGGCTTCCTAGATAACCAATCCCATCAAACACACGCCAGGAGTCACAGGTGGATGCCAGGAGTTATGAGTGAACGCCAGCCAGCCCAGGGTGCATCTTGTTCCAGTCTCTGAGCCCCGGGGTCCTTGTGTTTCTCTGCCTGGTGGGGGATGCATACCACATAAAACTGTATGTTCCAGGTCTTTTCTCACTCCCATTATTCTTCATTAAGCCTAATTGGAATGCCACTGAATAATCATATTATTCTAATGCTCCATGTAATTATTAAGAATAATGGTGATTTCCATTTCTCTTTTCCTCTTGTATTTTTTCTTTCCTCCCACACAAAAGCTACGTTTGCTTCTTCAAGGTGTTGTGCTTGACTTTATTCCCTTCCCTGGGGCTGGGAAGACCTTGGCTGGGTGATGACCATGACGGCCACACCACTCTGGCAATTTTGTCACTGGATTCTCCATGCCAGTTCCAGAACATGGCATCAAATGTTGCCAGTGGGGATGGGGACAGATCAGAGAGGAGGAGAGTAATTTTTATGTGGTTTACACATTGTGCTCTCCTGGACATTTGCTCATTTAATCTTAGGAGCAACCCCGCAGGGTAAATGATATTATAACTATCATTCCTATTTTACAGATGAGGAAATTAAGGTTCTATTTCCTTCTTTCATGAGTTTTCTATTTCGAGAGTTTTTAAGTTGTAAATTCAATTTCCTCAAAAGTTATAGGGCTATTCATATTATTTTATATTGGGTTAATTGTGGTAGCTGGTGTTTTTTGAGGAATGGATTCATTTCATCTAAGGGGTCAAATTTATGTATGTAGAGTTGTACATAGTATTCTCATTCTCTTGAGGTCTGCAGCATCTGTTATGGTATCATACCCTGTTTCACTCCTGATATTGGTAATTTGTATTTTTTTTCTGATTTTTTTCTGTCAGTCTTGGTACAATAATTTTTTATTGTCAGTTGTTTTCTTTTTTTTCTTTCTTATTTTTGTTTTCTTGTTCCTTCTTTTGAGGCAAAAGAGGCTTTTGTTTTTTTTAATAGAGACAGGGTCTCGTTATGCTGCCCAGGTTGATCTCAAACTCCTGGCCTCAAGGGATCCTCCTGCCTCTACCTCCTAAGGTGCTGGGGGGGATTACAGCCATGAGCCACCATGCCCACCCAGTTTGTTGATATTATTCATTATTTTCAAAGAGGCAGCTCCTTTTTTCACTGATTTAATTTTTTTTCTGTTTTTAATTTCACTGATTTCTGTTCTTATCTGTATTATTTCCTTCTTTCTGCTTGCTTTGGGATTATTTTTATCTTATTTTTCTAGGATCTTAAGGTGAAAACTTAGATTATTATTGAAAACTTTTCCTCTTTTCTAATCTAAGCATTTAATGTTCTATGTTTCCTTCTCAGCATGACTTTAGCTACATACCACAAAATTTAATATGCTGTAGTTTCACTTTCATTCAGATCAATTTTCTGCCTGGAGTCTTTCCTCTTTGATCCATGGATTATTTGGAATTATATTTCTTTGTTTCCAAGTAGTTGGAAATTTTGCCATTATCTTTCTTTTATTGATTTCCAGTTTGATTATATTTTAGTCAGATAACATACTCTGAAACTCTTTTAAATTTGTTGAGATTTAATTTGTGTCTCAGGATATGATCTATCTTGACATATGTTCATTGGACATTTGAAAATAACGTGGCCAGGTGCGGTGGCTCATGTCTGTAATCACAGTGCAAGGTGGGAGGATTGCTTGAGTCCAGGAGTTCAAGACCATATTGGGCAATGTAGTAAGATGCCAGCTCTACAAAAACAGTTTTTAAAATTAGCTGGGAGTGGTGGTACACACCTGTGGTCCTAGCTACTCAGGAGGCTGAGGTGGAAGGATCACTTGAGCCCAAGAGTTAGAGGTTACAGCAAGCTATGGTCATGTCACTGCACCCCCAGCCTGGGCTACAGAGTGAGACTCCATCTCTAAAAATATAAAAATAAAAACAATACAAAAAATTTAAAAAAGAAAATAATATGTATTCTGCTTTGTGAGGTGATGTGTTCTATAAAGGTTGATATGAGTATGTTGATTTATGGTGGGGTTCTTCCATACCCTTGCTGGTTTTCTGTTTAGTTGTTCAATTGAGAGAGGGATATTGAAGGTTTTAGTTTGTTTGTTTTGTTTATTTTATTGTAGAGATTGGGTCTTGTTATGTTGCCCAGGCTGGTCTCAAACTCCTGGCCTCAAGCAATCTTCCTACCTTGGCCTCCCAAAGTGCTGGGGTTATAAGTGTAAGCCACCACGCCCAGCCTGGGTATTAAAGTTTTTAACTATAATTATGAATTTCCCTATTTCTCTTTTCAGTTTTATCAGTTTTTGCTTTACATAGTTTGCAACTCTGTTATTTGATGCATACACTTTTAGAATTGCCATATCTTCTTGGAGAATTGACTCTTTTATCATTATGTAATATACCTCTCTGTCTCTGGTAATTTTCTTTGCTCTGAAACCTGCTTTATCTGATATTGATACAGACACACTTCTACTTTCTTCAGATTAGTATTTGTAAGGCATACCTTTTTCATCCTTTTACTTTCAACCTATTTAAATCACTATATTTAAGGTGAGTTTCTTGTAGCTAGCATATAGTTGGGTCATGTTTTCTTATCCACTTATCTAATCTCTGTCTTTTAAGTGGTGCTGTAGGCCACCTATATTTAATGTAATTATTGATATGATAGGGGTTCAGTTTTTGTTTTCTGCTTGTTCTCTCTGTGCTTTGTTTCTCTGATTTATCTTTCCTGACTTTGTCTGAGTTACCTGAATACTTTTTAGCATTTAGAATTTTTTTTTTTTTTTTTTTGAGATGGAGTTTTGCTCTTGTTGCCCAGGCTGGCATGCAATGGCACGAGCTCAGCTCACTGTGACCGCTGCCTCCTGGGTTCAAGTGATTCTGCTGCCTCAACCTCCTGAGTAGCCGGGATTACAGGCATGCACCACCAAGCCCAGCTAATTTTGCATTTTTAGTAGAGATGGGGTTTTACTAGGTTGGTCAGGCTGGTCTCGAACTCCTGACTTCAGGTGATCCACCCACCTCAGCCTCCCAGAGTGCAGAGATTATAGGCGTGAGCCACCATGCCTAGCTAGACATTTTTATTTATCTATTTTTTTAGTGTATTACTTTGTGTAGTTTTGTTAGTGGTTGCTGTAGGCATTACATTATATATGCATAACCTATCACAGTCTTCTGCTGTCATGATTTTATCTGTTCAAATGAAGAGTAGAAACCTTACCTCTCTTTATGTTCCTTTACCCTCCGTTTTTTATTATGTAATAGTCTTCAATATTTCCATTTTATTTCCTTTTTTAATTATTAGAGACAAGGTCTCGCTATGTTGCCCAGGCTAGTCTTGAATTTCTGGGCTCAAGTGATCTTCCTGCCTCAGCCTCCCAAAGTGAAGAGATTACAAGCATGAGCCATTGCACCCAACAAGTCTTAAATATTTCTCCTGCACATGTTTAGACCTCCATTTAGACAGGGTTATAATTTTTGCTTCATAATTTAGAAAAATCCAAGAGGAGAAGGAACATCTATTGTATTACTCATAATTTTGCTTGCTGTGTTCTTTCTTCCTGATGTTTCAGAGTTTCTGCTTTTATTGTCTTCTTTCTGTTCACAGAATTTCCTTTAGCCATTCTTTTAGGATAGGTCTGACGGCAACAGATTATCTTAGTTTCCTTCCATCTTAGAATGTCTTGATTTCATTTCCCCCCTTCATTCCTGAAGGGTTTTTGGTTGTTCTTGTTGTTGGGGGTATCGGATTCTTGATTGATGGTTCTTTTCTCTGAGCACTTTAAAACTGTTGTGACACTGGTTTCTGATGAGAGATCTGCTGTGATGTAAATTGTTTTCCCCTATAGATATGGTGTCATTGATCTCTTATTGTTGTCAAGAATTTTTTATCTATCTTTAGTTTTCAGAAGTTTGACTATGTTGTATATTGATATAGATTTCTTTAGGTTCATTCTGTTTAAGCTTTGCTCAATTTTTTGAATCTGCAAGTTTATGACTTTTGCCAAATTTGTGAAATTTCCAGCCATGATTTTTTCAAGTACTTTTTCAGCCTTGCCGTCCTTCTTTTCTCCTTCTAGAATTCTCATGATACAAATGTTAGCTCTTTTGTTATAGACCCAAGGTCCCTGATACTCTTTATCTTTTTGAGGTTTTTTTATTCTCTGTTGTTCAAATTGGGTGATGACTGGGTTATTTCTATTGTTCTATTTTCAAGTTTACTGATTATTTCCTCTGGCCTCTCTATTCTGCTACTGAGCACATCCATTGAGGGTTTTGTTGTTGTTGTTTTTGTTGTTATTGTACTTGTCAGTTCTAACATTTCCACTTTGTTCTTCTTTATATCTTCTATTACTTTACTGATATTTTCTATTTCTTAGCTGATGCTTCCTATTTTTTTATTTGTTTCAAGTGTGTCTGTTGCTTGTTGAAGCATTTTTATGATGGTTGCTTTAAAGTCTTTGTCAGCTAGTACTAACATCTGTCATCTTGGTATTGGCAACTATTGATTGTCTTTTTCTATTCAGTTTTAAATCTTCTTGGATCTTGATATAATAACTTTTTATTAAAATCTGGATATTGTGGGCAAAATATTAGGAGACTTTGGATCTCATTTAAATCTTTTCTACTTTTTTCTGACACCCCTCTGGCAGGGGAAGAGGGAGTACTCTGTTGTTACTGCCAGGTGAGAGTACAAGACAGTACTCCTCATTACTTCTGAGTGGGGGTGGGAATTCTGCCTCTCATTGGGCCTCCCCTGATACCTCTCTGGAAAGTATCAGGTATCTCTGGCTGGAAGAGTAGGAGTGCCTCCTTACTACTCTCTATGTGGCCTCCAGTGACACCATAGAGTTAGGGGCCTCATTGCCAACTCATTACCAACTGGTGAGGATGAAAGTCCTGGCTCCCTACACGGTCTTCTTGGATACCACCCTGGTGGTGGGGTTAGGCTGCCTCCTTATAACCCAGCAAAAATGGAACTCTAGGCTCCCCACTTGGCCTTTGATGGTGGTGGTGAGGATATAAACTCAGATTTTTTTTCATGTGGTATTTGGCTGGAGTAGAGCAGTTATAATCTAAGTTTTCCGTCTTGCTAGATTTGCCCTTTCCCAATCCTTTGGCTAGAGACAGCAGGCTTTTGTTTGGGGTTTATAAAATCTTCACTCAATATTTCTGGGTTGCTGTCTTCTCAAGCTTCAAGTTTAGGGTATACAAGGCAAAATGAGAACCCAGAAAACTCACCTCCATGTTGTTCCTTGGGACCTGACATCTCTAGCCCATCTGCCTCCTTCTTTCCACCTCTTCTTATGATTGTTTTCCAGACCTTCTAGTTATACTTACTGGCAGTAATAGAAAAAAGTATGTCTATTCCATCTTCCCAGAAGCAGAAGTCCTACTGCATGACTTTTATAATTAGAAAAAAAGTGTGAGTATATATGTGTGTGTGTGTGTGTGTGTGTGTGTGTGTGTATTTTTAGGAGCATTAACATACAGGAACATAAAGGTTCAGTGCCAGCCTTTTGGTTAGGTGACAGGCACTGTCCTGGCACTGCAGAGACAGGACAAAATAAGGCACATCTCAGGGTCCAAGGAGCTCAGCATGGACAGATGAAGCAAGTACGTAGGTAAATAAGTGTAATACTATTATGCTTACCATGATTTTGCCTCGTGTACCCTAAACTTGAAGTTTGAGAAGACAGCAACCTAGAAAAGGCCTGGTCAAGTCTCTTTGGGGCCTGGCTTCATGGAGGAGGAGATGCTTGAGCTGAGCCCACTGTAGCTTCTGAAAGAACCTTTCTTGACCAGTAAAGATGGGGACATCAGGGTGGTGGGAATGGGGAGCAGATCTTAAACTTGAACGTATACATGTACACATGAATCACCTGTGTATTTTGTTAAAATGCAGATTCTGATTCAGTAGGTCTGATGCTATGTCCATGTAACCACACTTTGAGTAGCAAAAGTAGGGTATGGATTTTGGAGTCAGTGTGCAAATCGACTAACTGGGCAAGTCACTAAACCACCAGCAGTTTCTGCATTTAAAAAATAAAGATAATAATAGTCCCTGCCCCATAGGGTTGTAGTGAGGACTAAAGAGGCAATGGATAAACAGTTCCAGACCCATGATAAGAAAAGTCTGGAGAATTTATTCCCTGGATGCAATTCTCTGCCATTCTCCAGCTGCCCCCTAGCCCTGATCACTGGCTGCACGTGGCTGCAGGGACTATATGGGCCTGGCAGTGGCACACATGGGGTTAATTAATGCTCCTGCTCTTGCCCAGAGACAAATGTTTTGTATTGAAGAGTTGCTGCTGGGAAGGAAAAGGAGGGGGGAAAGAAAGCCCCTTTTCTATTATTCTGAGGTGCATTTTAATTTGCACAAGCAACGTTGTGTCTGTGATGGATGACACAGAGGGAAAAATTACAGCCCAGGAAGCCCAGCAAAGGAGAAAAAAAATAAAAGAGATCTAGCAAGGATTAAAAACAGCCCATTGTGATGCTGCATTCTGATCAGGGGCTGGGAAAGCTGGGGAGGGGTGTCTGAGTAGGACGGGGAGCAGAGGACTGGCCAGGAGAGACAGAGCAGTGGCAGGAGTAGTTGACTGATAGGAGACCAGCCTGGACCACATGGATCCTGGGGCCCAGGGATGTTTTCTCTATGAAACCTGGCAAGGCTGAGTCTGGGCACCTGAGAAGGAAGGTGCCAGGCAGAGCAAGGCCTTGACAAACTGTAATGTATGGGAACTTTGCTTTTCTTGCCTCTGGCTTCTTTCTCCACTTGGTTCTCCTCTCCATGGCATCACCACCATCTCTGGATCATCTGACTGCAAACTTTTGAGGGAACCTCTTTGATCTCTTCTCCCATTAACAAAACTCAGGAACCTGGGGCTCTTTTCTGAGGACATTGAACATCATAGCAACCCACCCAAGGGCAGAATCAGAGCAGCCAGGAGCGAGAGATCTAACTTAGGCAGCTGACTGATTCCTGACAGCTCGTGAGCAGCCACTGAAGGCTGGCCACCAGCCTGGGCAACATAGCAAGAGCTTGTCTCTACCAAAAAAAAAAAAAAAAAAATTAGCTGGGCCTGGTAGTGCATGCCTGTAATCCCAGCTACTCAGGAGGCTGAGGTGGGAAGATGGCTTGAGCCCCGGCGATCAAGGCTGCAGTGAGCCATGATTGTGCCACTGCACTCCAGCTCCAGCCTGGGTGACAGTGAGACCTTGTCTCAAAAAAACAAAAACACCACACACACACACACACACACACACACACACACACACACACACACCCCTCTGTGAGACATCGTTCTGCCTTCATAGTGCCTGGGTTGTCATTATTACTATTTAGTGCTCTTTTGGGTCTTTTCTGTGCTTCCCAGAAGCCCTGTGTTCTCCTCCCACTTACCCTTACCACTTGCCCTTATCATTCTGACAGCAGCCCAGGTGTGGGGTCTGGACTTGGGGGAAGGTTTAGGACCACGGGGAAAGTATTAAAGGAATGAGTTGGGCCAGGTACCGTGGCTCACACCTGTAATCCCAACACTTTGGGAGACTGAGGGGGGCAGATCACTTGAGGCCAGGAGTTCGAGACCAGCCTGACCAACATGGTGAAACCCCATCTCTACTAAAAATACAAAAATTAGCCAGGCATGCTGGCACACACCTATAGTCCCAGCTACTTGGGAGGCTGAGGCAGGAGAATCGCTTGAACCCAGGAAGTGGAGGTTGCGGTGAACCCAGATTGTACAACTGCACTCCAGCCTGGGTGACAGAGAGAGATTCTGCCTCAAAACAAACAAACAAATAAAAAACTAAAAACAAAAATAAAGGAATGAGTTGGAGGGATTAAGTTCCACAAGCCAGGACTTACTTTCCTTCCAGTGCCTTTGGTCACACTGAGACAGCAACAGGGAGTCTGACTGGAGTTAGATAAAGCAGATTAGCCTTCCTCTGTCATGCAGCCTCTTTGACCCTCTGTTTTCTCTTCTCTAAAGTGGGAATAATACTTATTCTTCCTGCCTCACGGATTATTACAAGGCCCAGGTGAGGTCGGTAATAGTTATTATTAGCAGTGGACCTTCATTTGACATCTAATTGGCCATAGAGGATGACTCCCTGTGTGGTATCAGTGCTAGATGGGGCTCCTCTTCCCAAGAATCTCTCCCCAGTGAACAACTCTTGTGGAGCCTGAAATTCTACCATTAGTGATGTACTTTTCGGGATCTATGATCATCCTTCATTAGTATTAATCCTTTGGGATGATGTTATCTTCAGTCTTATCAAGTTATTCCTTAAAGAAATGGCTCCTAATATTCCTGAAATCAGACCAGACCTTGTTGGAAAACTGTTGCAATTTATGGCTGTGCTGTCCAGAAACATGCACCAATTTGGGGGTGAGGTTCAGAGTTCAGCTTCCCCATCCTGCATGCTGTCAGGAGCGTGGCTTAAGCGGATGTCTGCTCTTTGTGCCTGCCTTACGGTCCTGTCCCATTCTTTTGACAACAGCCTCCTATTTTCCCTTGGGGACCACCGTGGCCTGCCCATTTTCTTCCAGCACTTGGTTTCCACACACCCTGATGACCTCTTACTGCAAGGTCCTGCCTGAAGGCTCTCTCTGGCCAGGGAAGCATGCTCAGCCCACAGGCGTGGGGCAGGTGAGAAGCAGGGAGAGCCAATGCCTGCAGGAGGAGTTTTCAACCAAAGGGAAATTGGACTGTTGGTGACTGAATGCTCCAAGGCTGCTTCTTCACGAAGTCCCAGGGCCTTGGGGCCTCAGTGGAGTTGAGTGGCAGTTGCCCAAATTATAACCTGCTCATGAATTCACCCTCTGTTGTTCCCCTCCCTTCCCCATTCCACTTCCTTACTTCTGCCGATGCTTTCTGGCATCACCTCCCGAAGAAACTGTTGGCCTCAAACCCTGTCTCAGTGTCTGTCTTTGGGTAGTACCCAAAATATACCACTTTCTCACCATGCCCTTTGGTGGGTCTGATCCTACTCCCAGTCCTTGAGATGGACACTGACCCAACCTGTGCCAATGAGGGTCATCACTGGGACTTTTGCTGAAACTGCTGGGAAAGTGGCACAGTCTTTTTCACTGGGATCACTGGCTGCAAAATCCACGAAGGCCTGGAATTACCAGGGTCAGCCTTGCCACCAAGTAGGGAAAGACCAAAACCAGGAAGGACTGAGAGAGGGTGGGAGGGATGGATTTCCGACATCAGAATCTTAGCTCAGCCTGAACCCATACCTGCCCAGGACCTCCCAGTGACAGAAGCCAATAAAGCCCCTTTTTTGCTCACAATTATGCCTCTCACTGGAACCATACATTCCCATCTCCGTGAAATAATGGACTTTTTTTTTTTTTGAGACAGAGTCTTGCTCTGTCACCAGGCTGGGGTGCAGTGGCATGATCATAGCCCACTGCAGCCTTGATCTTGATCTCCTGGGTTCGAGCAATCCTCCTGCCTCAGCCTCCTGAGTAGCTGGGACTATGGGCACGTGCCATCATGCCTGGTTATTTTTTTTTAATTTTTAGTAAAAACAGGGTTTTTTTTTGTTGTTTTTGTTGTTGTTTTTGAGACGGAGTCTCACTCTGTCGCTCAGGCTGTAATGCAGTGGCGCAATCTCGGCTCACTGCAACCTCTGCCTCCCAAGTTCAAGCAATTCTTCTGCCTCAGCAGCCTCCCAAGTAGCTGGGATTACAGGCGTGTGCCACCACGCCCAGCTAATTTTTGTATTTTTAGTAGAGACGGGGTTTTGCCATATTGGCCAGGCTGGTCTCGAACTCCTGACCTCAGGTGATCCATCTGCCTTGGCCTCCCAAAGTGCTGGGACTACAGGTGTGAGCCACTGTGCCCGGCCGAAACAGGGTCTTGTTACTTTGCCTAGGCTGGTCTTGAACTCCTGAGCTCAAGTGATCCTCCTGCCTCTGCCTCCCAAAGTACTGGGATTACAGAGATGAGCCACCATGCCCAGCTGGAATAATGTTCTTTGAAGGATGACCAGGAAGTTTTTGTGCCACCTCCCCGGGTCTAGAGCTTCCAAGGAGGTTTGGTATAACAGAGCCACAACCAGATCACCAGTCCCTTTGACAGAGATGCGTACACTTCCTCATCATCTCTGAGCTGTCCACCTCCTATCAGGACAGAGGAGGGTGACCAGCCTGGACTGTGATCCTGTGGGTCTGGGCCTGCCCCACAATGAACCCATCTCCTCCCCAGTGGGTCACCGGCCTAGTGAACACTAGATCTGCCTAAATCACTAGAGTTTAGGGCAGCTCTCCTCCTCTGCAGGCCACGGCGTGCAGTGGGAAACCTACTGAGGCAAAGTAGAGGTGCTCCAGCCAAGCCCTGGGCCTCGGTGTTCGGTGCTCACCTAAGTTGTGCCTATGTTGGTTCACTGCGCCTTAGCCCTGATCTCTCCTTTCTACTAGGATATGAAGATAAAGCAGTCAGCACAGTCCTTGGCACATAACGAGGCTTTAATCAATGGTACCTATTACTATACTACTGTGCTCACTACCACCAGTATCATTGTTTTCGCTGCCCCTCTTTGGGGTCAGGTCCTCGTCATTCTTGCTAGTTTTGTTGTTGTTGTTGTTGTTTGTTTTGCTGTTGTTGTTGTTTTAGCAGAGTCTCCCTCTATTGCCCAGGCTGGAGAGCAGTGGCACAATCTCGGCTCATTGCAACCTACACCTCCCGGATTTAAGCGATTCTCCTGCCTCAGACTCCAGAGTAGCTGGGATTACAGGCGCCCGCCACCACACCCAGCTAATTTTTGTATTTTTAGTAGAGATGGGGTTTCACCATGTTGGCCAGGCTGGTCTTGAACTCCTGACCTCAAGTGATCCACCCGCCTCGGCCTCCCAGAGTGCTGGGATTACAGGTGTGAGCCACCACACACACTGCCCTTGCTTGGATTTTGACAAAAGCTTTCTAAATTTCTCTTCTCCCCCGTCCTTCCTCCTCTTCACATCCAGATTCTGTCCTCGGGTGCTTTGGCCCCTCCTTTGCTGGCCTGGCTCTTCCTTTCTGACACTTGTTTCGGCAGGGGCAGCCACCGCCTTTCCCTGAACATCCTGTCCCCTTCCTGCTCCTACAGTTCTGCCCACCTGGAATATCTTGCATATCTTCCTGTCAAATTCTGCCAGTCCCTCCAGATAGCTCCAGTGATCTTCCCCTCACATTAGTTATGTAGACTAGAGTCACAAGCCCCAAATCGCAGTGGCTTAAACAGGAAGGTTCCTTTCTCCCTTACAGTACCCGTGCGTCGTGTATGGTGGCACAGGTTGGGTGGGTCTCTGCTCTAGCTCATCCTCCAGGGAGATACAGGCTAGGAGGCTCCCTATCTAGAAGGTAGCCAGTGAGCACTGTCCATTCCACCGGAAAGAGGAGTGGAAGCCATGTGTTATGGTCTGAATCCCTTGTCCATGACTGGTTCAAGGACCAGGCTGGGCCCATGTTAGCCAGAGAGCTGTGAGAGTGGCTTGCTTGGGGCTTACGGAAAAGTGACTTCTTCACCCTTTTTTTTTTTTTTTTTTTGAGATGGAGTTTCACTCTTGTTGCCCAGGCTGGAGTGCAATGGTGCGATCTCAGCTCACCGCAACCTCCACCTCCCAGGTTCAAGCAATTCTCCTGTCTCAGCCTCCCGAGTAGCTGGGGTTACAGGCATGTGCCACCATGCCTGGCTAATTTTGTATTTTTAGTAGAGATGGGGTTTCTCCATGTTGGTCAGGCTGGTCTCGAACTCCTGACCTCAGGTGATCTGCCTGCCTCGGTCTCCCAAAGTGCTGGGATTACAGGTGCGAGTCGCCACGCCCGGCCTGACTTCTTCAGTCTTAACCAGAGAACCACACAAAGCCAGCCGGCTCACCCACAGGAAGCACACTAGCAGGCATGTATTTGTTTCCTGAGACTTCTGTAACAAATTGCCACAGACTGGGTGGCTTAAAATAACAGAAATGTATTCTCTTACAGTCCTGGAGACCAGAAGTCCAACATCGAAGTCCTGGCAGGGCTGTGCTCCCTCTGAAGGCCCAAGGGGTGACTCCTTCCTTCCCTTCCACCTTCTGCTGGCTCCAGGCAATCCTCAGTTGTGGAGGCATCACTTCCTCCTCTGCCTCTGTCTTCCTGCAGCCTTCTCCTCTGCGCCTGTGTCTCCTGTCTGTTACAGTGACACTTACCATTGGATGTAGGGCCCACCCAGTCAATCTAGGATGATCTCATCTCAAAATCCTTAATACAGCTGCAAAGACACTTTTTTTCAAATAAGATCAAGTTCACAGGTTCCAGGGCATGGGCCTATCTTTTGGTGGCCACCATTCAACTCACTACAAGGTGGCAATCTTGAGGAAAGCCAGCCTTGGGAAGGTACTAACATGACGGAGAGGACAGGGTCAAAAAAATGGCAAAGAGATTAAGCCAGGGCCTTGATCATTCTGTGCCTGAAGCTAACCCCACCTGTCTAATTCCTACGTGTGAGATAAGTTGTTCAAAGCAGGTTTTCTGTTACACCTGCTTCCAGCTTTGGCCACCTGTGTATCTCCCCATCTCTTCAGTATTTTTCTGTACACTAACCTGGACTTAGCTTTCTTGTCCGGTAGACTGGTTCTTCAGGTCACAGGCATCTGCCGTACAGCACACACTAATTTCTGGCGATAATTATCTCTTGGGTTTCCCACCCTCTCCTCCTTGTGTCACCCTGGCTAAATGACACACGCAGATTTCATTGACCAGCCATGAACCTCACCTTCATGGAGACCGACGATGTGATCGGGTTTCCGCTTCTGCTGATCTCACCTCGCCCAGCAGCAGGCCCGGGCCTGCCCCCTTGCCCCTCTGGTCTGCGTCTCCCATTCATCACGCCTGTGTTTATAGCCTTTCAGCCGAGCCCCATCCCTGAGACGGTCCCTGTCTGTGCCAATTTAAATTAATTTTGCCAGTCAGATTTCATGAGACACTGAATCAAAGGCTTTTCTAAAATCAAAAAGCACTAAATCTTCAGTGGACCCTCTTCCCACTAATATTACAAGTTAGTTAGAATAAAAAAGCATTATGGTTTCCCGGCATGACTTCTGTGTAAACCTGCCAGTTCCGTTTATGGCTCAGGTCTCTGTTGCCCTCCAGCTGCTTACTGGATTTTCTACTTGTAAAATTTATCGTAAATTTTTAATCATAAAATTTGTTCTATGGCTTGCCTACAAACGGAACTTACGGCTTCCCTGGAGGGAAATTGCTGGAATCGGTTTTCTTCTTGTTTTTTGAGTCCCACGTTTTTCCCTCTCTAGCCATCTCCCTGTTTGCCGTCGCTTTTTGAAAGTAGGTGTCAAGAGTTTCTTAAGTTCATTAGCTAATTCTGCCAAGACCTTTCGGTTTGCATGCCATAGGGCCCCTTGATTTATGTATCTCTCTAGCATTTAATTTTTCTAAGTGACCCTTTACCTGTTTTTTATTATGACTTACTAATTGCACCCATTTCCTAACTTTATTTTTCTTATTAAAGACAGGTTTTAATAGGTAGTTCATTTCTCAGCCACTTAAAGACCCTGATTAATTTTACTAGCCTCCTGGTCACTCAGGAATAGATCACCTTTCTTGCTAATATTTCTTTGTCCCTGACCTGACAGGTCTGGATTCTGTGCTTGAGGGGCAGGCTGATGCATGGCTAAATGCATGGGCTCCAGTTCAAATCCTGCCTTCACCACTTTTTGTTTTTTTACCCAAGACAGGGTCTTGTCTGTTGCCCAGGCTGGAGTGCAGTGGTGTGATCTCGGCTCACTGCAACCTCCGCCTCCCAGGTTCAAGCGATTCTCCTGCCTCAGCCTCTGGAGTAGCTGGGATTACAGGCATGTGCCACCACGCCTGGCTAATTTTTGTATTTTTAGTAGAGATGGGGTTTCACCATGTTGGCCAGGCTGGTCTTGAACTCCTGACCTCGTGATCCACCCACCTTGGCCTCCCAAAGTGCTGGGATTACAGGCATGAACCACCATGCTCAGCAACCTTCACCACTTCTTAGACATATGATGTTACTTAAACTCCCTGTGCCTTAGTTTCCTCATCTATAGGAGGATAATAGAACCTCCTTTAAAACCTCATGGCAGTGAGACACGGCATATAGACTAGGTTCTGGCACACAGGAAGTACTTAGTAAATGTTAACTATGCTTATTTGGGGGAGAAACTTTTTTCTATCTAAATGTTCTCATGTAATTCATTAATTTATGAGCAACTTGTATGTTTATAGCATTGGGCCAGGTTGAAGAGGGGATGATTACAGAGCTGAATACTATTACCTGGTCTCTGCCCACATGGAGCTCTCATCCTGGTGAGAGATAGCCAAGCAAACAACTGCCTATAATTCCAAGCAGAATGAAAGAGATGCTTGAACAGATAAAAAGCAAAGCTCAGGGAGACTCAGCAGGAAGAAAGTTTCATTCTCCGGAGGCATTGGAGAAAATGTCATGAAAAAGAAGCCTGAGTTTTAAAGGACAAATGGGGTTTGGGTTGCAGAAAAACAGGAAGAATGAGCATTGCAAGGTGAGGGACTGACCTGGGCAAAGCCTTGGAGGTGTGGGCACGTTGGGTATTTGGGGCATCCTCCAGCCTGGTGTGGCTGGAGAATAGTGTCTTGGGGAAATGAGTCAGGGGAATCAGGGAAAGGGCTGAAAATGCACTTTGGGTCAGTAGTTGTTTGAGCCCCGTGCTGTAGGGCAGTCTTTTTCAAAGTGTGGTCCCTGCACCAGCTACATCAGCATCCCCTGGGAGCTTGCTAGAATATGAAAGCAAATTCCCAGGTCCTGCCCCAGTCCTACTGAATCAAAAGCTCTGAAGGTGGGTCCTAGTCACTGTGTACAGGGCCCCCAAGCCCTGTCTGATTCCCATTTATACCCAAGTTTAAGGACACTGCTGTTGCTAGTGGTGGGCTATGAGACTGACCATTAACACAAACTTTGAAGAATGCGTGATCCCCTGTGTTTATTAGATATGACATTTGGCTGCATTTAATGGAAATCCAAATGCAGTCACTGAACCAATTATAGGCTTAGTTTCCTTTTGTACCAAGAGTCCTGAGGACAGTCGTCCAGAGCTGGTGCAACAACTCGAGGAAGTCATCGAAACCCAGGCTCTGTCTAACTCTCTCAGCAGGCGACCTTCATTCTCATGTCTATAGGATGGCTGCTGCACCTCCAGGTTTTGCTACCATGCTACAGGCAGAAAGAATGAGGGAACAGCAAAGAGAGAATGGCTCATGCTAGCTGACCCTGTTCCCATTTATACTTGCTGGAAATCCTCCTGGATAGTAGTCTCCCTGGGCTAGGCGCGGTGCTCATGCCTGTAATCCCAGCACTTTGGGAGGCCAAGGCAGGCGGATCACTTCAGGTCAGGAGTTCAAGACCAGCCTGGCCAACATGGTGAAACCCTGTCTCTACTAAAAATACAAAAATTAGCTGGGGATGGTGGTGTGTGCCTGTAGTCTCAGCTACTCAAGAGGCTGAAGCACAAGAATTGCCTTAACCGGGGAGGCAGAGATTACAGTGAGCTGAGATTGCACCACTGCACTCTAGCCTGGGTGACAGAGTGATACTCTGTCTCAAAAAAAAAAAAAAAAAAAAAAGGAATCTCCCTGGAAGCACCATCCTGTAGCTTATTTCTCCTTAATTAAAACTAGTTCACAGCCGGGCACTCATAATCCCAGCACTTTGGGAGGCTGAGGTGGGTGGATCACCTGACATCAGGAGTTCAGACCAGCCTGGCCAACGTGGTGAAACCCCGTCTCTACTAAAAATACAAAAAATTAGCCGGGTGTGGTGGCACACGCCTGTAATCCCAGCTACTTGGGAGGCTGAGGCAGCACAATCGCTTGAACCCAGGAGGCGGAGGTTGCAATGAGCCGAGATTTCGCCACTGCACTCCAGCTTGGGCAACAAGAGCGAAACTAAAAAACTAGTTCACATGGTCACTCTAGGTACAGAGAGGTATGAAGGTATTTTTAATGGGATAAATTGGAGTCCTAAATAAAATCAGTGTTGTTAGTTGGGAGGAAATGGAGAATAGACACCAGGTGAACAACAATCAGTGTCTGCCAAACCCCATTCCGAGGGTGCCGCAGGAAGGTACCTCTGGTGGACATGAACACTGGTTGGAGGAGGTTTGTAGAGTGGTTAAAAATTAAGCTCCAAAGCCAGACAGCTTGAATTTGAATCTGCTGCATGCAGCTATGAAATCCTGAGCAAATTATTTACTCTCTTGGCCTCAGTTTCCTCATCTGTAAAATGCAAATGCCTCATAAGGATTTTGTAAGGATTAAACTAGTAGACACATATAAAGCTCATGGAACAGAGTCGGGGTGTGAGCACTCAGTAAATATCTAGCAGTGAGGTGATACTATGGGAGGCTGTTGAATAAATCATTCAAGAAATGAGCCGAAATCATGCTACTGCACTCCAGCCTGGGCGAAAGAGTGAAACTCCGTCTCAAAAAAAAAAAAAAAAAAAAAAAAAAAGTCTTTCCAATTCCATGTTTCTTCCTTGGTTGCACAGCACTTCCCAATGTCCAGTGCCTTAATTCTAAGCCTTCAAAACAAGAAGAATTTCAGGGGCAAAGTGACAACTTTGAACTCTTGAGCCCATGGGAGCCCATTCTGGGGCACCTATCACTCAGGGGGACTGAGCTGGGGTCAGGTCTAGAGTTCTCTGAGCTTCTAAACCAGGGCTTCTCAACCTTGGCTACAGTCTAGAATCAGCCAAGAAATTTTAAAAAACATCCCAATGCCTGAGTCATATCCCAAACCCACTAAAGTAGATTCTTCCAGCCTGGGCAACACAGGGAGACGCCATCTCTACAGACGATTTTTTTTTTTTAATTAGCCAGGAGTGATGGCGCATGCCTGTGGTTCTGTGTCCGGAATTGGTGGGTTCTTGGTCTCACTGACTTCAAGAATGAAGACGCGGACCCTCGCGGCGAGTGTTACAGTTCTTAAGGTGGCGCGTCTGGAGTTTGTCCCTTCTGATGTTCACTTGTGTTCCGAGTTTCTTCCTCTGGTGGGTTCGTGGTCTCGCTGGCTCAGGAGTGAAGCTACAGACCTTGGCGGTGAGCGTTACAAGCTCATAAAAGCAGCGTGGACCGAAAGACTGAGCAGCAGCAAGATCTATTGCAAAGAGCAAAAGAACAAAGCTTCCACAGCGTGGAACGGTACCAGAGCATGTTGCCACTGCTAGCTCGGGCAGCCTGCTTTTATTCTCTTATCTGGCCACACCCACATCCTGCTGATTGGTAGAGCCAAGTGGTCTGTTTTGACAGGGTGCTGATTGGTGCGTTTACAATCCCTGAGCTAGATATAAAGGTTCTCCACGTCCCCATCAGATTAGTTAGATAGAGAGTATCTACACAAAGGTTCTCCAAGGCCCCATCAGAGCAGCTAAATACAGAGTGTCGATTGGTGCACTCACAAACCTTGAGCTAGACACAGGGTGTTGATTGGTGTGTTTACAAACCTTGAGCTAGATACAGAGTACCGATTGGTGTATTTACAATCCCTGAGCTAGACATAAAGGTTCTCCAAGGCCCCCCCAGACTCAGGAGCCCAAGTGGCTTCACCCAGTGGATCCCGCACCGGGGCTGCAGGTGGAGCTGCCTGCCAGTCCCGGTGCCCTACACCCACACTCCCCAGCCCCTGGGCGGTCGATGGGACTGGGCGCCATGGAGCAGGGGGCGGCGCTCGTCGGGGAGGCTCGGGCTGCACAGGAACCCACGGAGGCGGGGGAAGGCTCAGGCATGGCAGGCTTCAGTCCCGAGGGCTGCCCCGCGGGAAGGCAGCTAAGGCCCGGCGAGAAATCGAGCACAGCGCAGGTGGGCCGGTACTGCTGGGGGACCCAGTACACCCTCCGCAGCCGCTGGCCCAGATGCTAAGTCCCTCATTGCCCGGGGCCAGCAGGGCTGGCCGGCTGCTCCGAGTGCGGGGCCCGCCAAGCCCACGCCCACCCGGAACTCCAGCTGGCCCACAAGCGCTGCATGCAGCCCCGGTTCCCGCTCGCGCCTCTCCCTCCACACCTCCCAGCAAGCTGAGGGAGTGGGCTCCAGCCTTGGCCAGCCCAGAAAGGGGCTCCCACAGTGCAGTGGTGGGCTGAAGGGCTCCTCAAATGCTGCCAAAGTGAGAGCCCAGGCAGAGGAGGTGCCGAAAGCAAGCGAGGGCTCTGAGGACTGCCAGCACGCTGTCACCTCTCAGTTCCAGCTATTTAGGAGGCTAAGGTGGGAGGATCTACAGAACAGGAGCCTGAGAGGTCGAGGCTACAATGAGGCATGATCCTACCACTGCACTCCAGCCTGGGTGACAGAGCGAGACCCTGTCTAAATAATAATAACAATAATAATGTCAATTTTTGGGGGTAAGACCTGGGCATTGGTAGTTCTTAAAGCTTCCCAGGTGACGCCAATGTGCAGCCACAGTTGAAAACTACTAACTTAAACCAGCGGTAATCAAGCTTTGGCATGTATCAGAGTCACTTGGAGGGCTGGTTAAACCTGAAATTGCTGGCCTACTCAAGTTTCTAATTCAATAGGTCTGGGATAGTTTTACCCACTTCTACAGGGTCAGAGGATTGCATATCTAATGAGGTACCAGGTGCTGCTGCCGCTATGGGACCACACTTTGAGAACTTCTGCTCCTGACAGTTTCACCCAGGTCTCACTCAATCTGGGTGCTCATGGCACCCAGATATGATGTCTCTTCCTAGTCCGTATCCCCTCCCTTGTTGGAGGCCTCTCTAGAGCTCTATAGAGATTCTGTAGATACAGGAAGCAAGGACTTTAATAAAATAGGAGACACTAGGAAACTTGGCCCCAGATAACAGGGTTGATTATGGAATGAAAGGGCAGGGGGCAACATAGTTAATTAACTGGAATGTCTGTGTCACTTATTTAATATATCCTGTCAGTAGTAAGAGGTGATTTTCATCCTGTGACCGGCGGCACTGGTCTTGTAAATGGAGCAGCCAAGGGATACTGGCCACTTTGGGAAAATCTGCTTTCAATCAGACCGGGCATTTAATGACTGGGATTGTGGCCAAGCTGCTTGCTGTCTCTGAGTCTCAGTTTCCCACTCTAAAAAAAAATGAAGGTTAGAATAAGACTTGCTTTGTGGTATACTTGAGAGCATTACATTAGCATTTGAAAGTGCCTATGCAATAAACGGCAGCTATTCTCATTACTACGTTATTCTCCTTGGCACTGCTGCTGTCGGTGCCCCTTATGTAAAGATTCTCAGCACCAAAGTGTGCTTTCAGTTTAGTGCTGGGGAGATCATCTCTCATCCGACAGGTCACAGGCGGGGATGCTTTTTATTGGTTGATGGCAGCTACTGTATTTACCAGGGAAGCTCAGGGCTAAATCCTGTGAAGTTTTGACAATCACCTTCAGCTTAAGCTTTCTGGCATAATTCCCGCTCCCCTTGATCATGCAGCAGACGCTCCTTTCTTTACTTACTCCATCTCATTCATGCCACCAGCTAATCTTTTCTCCCACTGGCTTCTATGATTCCAGAAAGAAATCTGACTCTTTGCTGTGCCTGACTGGATGCCTACTCAGTCATGTTTGAAGGATGGATGTAGTCATCTAAGTGAATACGTGATCTAAAGTATTTTTTTGTCAAGGAGTGATTTAAAAATAATAAATTATTAAATATATGGGAAACATATAAAGGCTCTGGGTTCCACTGACCTCATTCATGAAGTGGAATCAATGCTACTACTTGGTGGAAAAAAAAGAACCTCCCTTCCCTTCCCTTCCCTCCCCTCCCCTCCCTTCCCCCTCCCTTCCTTTCCCTTCCCTTCTCTCCCCTCCCCTCCCCTCCCTTCCCTTTTCCTTCCCTTCTCTCCCCTCCCCTCCCCTCCCTTCCCTTTTCCTTCCCTTCTCTCCCCTCCCCTCCCCTCCCTTCCCTTTTCCTTCCCTTCCCTTTCTTTCCATTCCCTTTTCCTTCCCTGCCATTCCCTCCACTTTCCTCCCCTCCCCTCCCTCCCCCTTTCCTTCCCTTTCCTTCCCTCCCCTACCCTTTGCCTTCCCTCCCTTCCCCTCCCCTCCCCTTTGCCTTCCCTCCCTTCCCCTCCCCCTCCCTTCCCTTCCCTTTGCCTCCCCTCCCCTCCCCTTCCCTTTTCCCTCCCCTTCCCTTTTCCCTTCCTTTCCTTTCCTTCCCTTTCCCCTTCCCTTCACTTCCCTTTCCCCTTTCCTTTCCTTTCTTTTTTCCTTTCCTTTCTTTATTTTTTCCTTTCCTCTTCTTTCCTAACCTCTATAAGCCTGGATGTCCTCAGGTATAAACTGATATTGATGCTGTTTCCATTGCAGGTGCTTGTGAGACTGCCAGATATGGCATCTGTGTGCCCCACAGGGCACAGTGCCATTCCTTTTGGATGTTCAGTTGACTCTTGGTTCTTTCTCTTGCCTTCACCTTGCCTTATGAGGATTTAGATCCAACAACGCTATGGCTTTTGCAGAGCCAGGACTGAGAGGATCAAGACACCCCATCCATGACATTTAAGGAGGTCCTCACTCTCAGGATTGTGCAAGTGCATGGCCAGCCTCCGACAGGAAGTGCATCCTTAAGTTTTGCACCCTAAATATTTTGCTTGCAGTGCCCTAGTTCCCACCCTGGACTTCTGGGTGACTTTTTATGTATCTATACCCCCCACACTATTTAAATGGTGTCTCAGTCTGTTTTGTTAGTGGTGCCATAACAAAGTACCCGAGACTGGGTCATTTATAAAGAACAGAAATTTATTTCTCACAGTTCTGGAGAATGGGAAGTCCAACATCACGGCACCAGCAGGTAGACTAGTGAGAGTCTGGTCTCTGCTTCTAAGATGGTGCCTTGAATGCTGCATCCTCCAGAATGGAGGAACACTGTCCTCACACCGTGAAAGATAGAAGGGCAAGAAAAGGCTAACTCCCTCTGTCAAGCCCTTTCATAAGGTCACCCAATCTCATCCATGAGGGCAGAGCCTTCATGACTCAATCACTTCCCAAAGGCCACACTTTCCAATACAGTTGCACTGGGGATCAAGTTTCAACATGAATTTTGGAGAGGGCAAAAACATTCAAACCATAGCAAATGGCAATCATGAAACTGGCTTAGAATCCACTTTGGGGTTCTCAAACCTGCAGGAATCTAATTTTCAAATCCAATCAAAACAAGGGGCTGGGCTGGGCATGATGGCTCATACCTATCATCCCAGCACTTTGGGAGGCCGAGGCAGGTGGATCACCTGAAGTCAGGAGTTCAAGACCAGCCTGGACAACATGGTGCAAACCCATCTCTACTAAAAATACAAAAAAATTAGCCAGGCATGGTGGCGCACTCCTATACTCCCAGCTACTCGGGAGGCTGAGGCATGAGAATTGCTTGAACCCAGGAGGCAAAGGCTGCAGTGAGCTGAGATCGTGCCACTGCATTCCAGCCTGGGCAACAGTGCAAGACTCTGTCTAAAACAAACAAACAAAAAACAATGGGCTGTACTGATGCAAGGCTAGTATGCAAATACCCATGGGTGGAGCTGGATCTCTGTCCCGCAGATGCTGAAGGAAACAAGCCACACCTGTGCGTCCCATCTCAACAGAACTGGGCACCTGTCAAAATCCATCCGCTACTTAGCTTGTCAAGTTTTGACCTTCTCTGACCTCTATGAGGTAGGAAGAACAGTTAAGGTTCTCCCAGTTTAAGCAATTACAAAATGGAAAAATAAGTGATTTTCCTAAGGTCACCAAGTAAATTAGGTTTGAAGCCCAGGATAGACCAGTATTTCTCAAAGCATGGTCAGAGACACCTGGGGGTATGTGTCCAACTCCAGGTTTCCGGGCGTGGGCCATATCCTAGAACTCCCAAATCGGAGTTCCTGAAGGTAGGGCTGGAACTGGCATCTTATCAGGCTCCTGGGGCTTCTAGGGCACAGTGAAGTCTGCACAAGTCTGAGCTGCTGACACTTTCTGAATCTTGGTCCCATGTCCCCATCATGCCACATCTCTGAGTGTGCAGGAGGGACTGATGCTTTAGCCAAAGCATGACACACGTGCGATAGAAGATCTCAAGACAATTTCAGTTGGTATAAAGTTAAGTTCACTGGTATAGTAACTCAGCATTTATTTCCATAGGTATGGGGGAAAATGTAACTATCCGTTTAAGCACATGAGTTCATGAATTTTTGCATAGAACAAAGTTAAGTTTTTGAGAGCTGAGCTAATTTAAAGTTGATTTTAAGAAAATACGGTACCAAAATGTGGCAATAATTGTGCAAGTGATACAATAACGACTGAAGTTTGAGTGATTCTATGTCAGCAGCAGAAGCTGGGCTGGAAGGCAGGGCCTCTTCTAAAGGAGTTTTTAGAGCCCTGCAGAGACTGTCTACCTTTGTCCTTCAAACATTGTCAGCAGCCAGTACTTCTCATGATAAGTATTTATTATGACCATTGTTGTCATGCCAGGAGCCAGGGGGAGTGGAAATCTTTCCTCTGGGGAGAATGGGATGCCCTTTCTAACAGGTTAGGAGAACCCCAGACTCAAACTGTGTCCAAGCCTACAGACCAAGAAGCAGGCTGGGGACAAATGTCTCTCAAGTTTGGAAGGGGAGAGCTGTACACCCTTCTCACATCTTTCCCAGGTGCTCCAGGTGCCACCACTGCCCAAGGCAGTTCCTCACTCCGCTTCCCAAAGCACCACTGCGAATGGCCAGGTTGGCCAGGGGCTGAAGCAAAGAGAGGAGGGGCATTGTGCAAAGGAGAGATGACAAAGACAGAAAAAGAGAAGACAGCCAGAGAATGGAAGGCTGGGGGAGGGGAAGGACTGAAGGAGAAAGAAGAAAGTAAAGTGGGGGAAAAAAAGCATTTGTAAAATTAAAAGGCAGGGCCCCATCAGATGGGGTTGGGCAAGGAATGCATGTTACAGGCAGGAGTAATTGGTAATCGGAGCTGATGTGAAGAAGGGATGATTTATGGGAGCGTGCAGACAGGGGCGGAATAATTTTTGGAGCAGAACGGGGAACTTACTGAACGCCTGAAACTCAGCTACTTATCCACTCGTTCTTGTGATGAATTAGCTCTTGTTTAAAGTAACCGCGGCTCCATTTTTCATACTGATTACTACACTTGATATCTTTCTCTCTGTTTCCCTCTGACCACTGCCCCCTTACCAGGTTCTGGGTGCAGAGGCACTGGGTTTGTAGAAATTCGTCACCCCTCCTCCTTACTTCCCCCTCTCCCCCACCCTGCCCCACCCCCGTAGCAGCATTAACTCTAAATAGCCAAGTCTAAAACCCAGCCACTTGAAATATTGCACAGATTAGGAATGTGCAGAATTATTGAAGACTTTAGATGCAACATGGCCTGCTTATGCATCCCAAATGATTACAATTCCTTTGCCGATCTGATGTGGGAAGTGTCTTTCCAGGGCTGTCTACCACTGTGAAGTAGAGAACACACACCCCTTCCTAGCTGGGTGCAGCATTCCTTCCAAAGGTGGAAAGACCTCTGAGGATGCTGGCAAGCCCCGATGAGAGGGAAATTCAAGGTAAACATGTTCTTTCTATACCATATAGCGCTCCTTACCAACATTTTTTAAATATTAGTTTTAAATTTATAATATAAATGGCCGGGCATGATGGCTAGCACTTTGAAAGGCCAAGGCAGGAAGAGCACGTGAAGCCAGGAGTTCAAGACCAGCCTGGGCAACATAGAGAAACCCCATATGTAGAGACCCCATCTCTATAAAAAATAAAAATAAATAAACAAATGTATAGGCCGGGTGCGGTGGCTCACACCTGTAATCCCAGCACTTTGGGAGGCCAAGGCTGGCAGATCACGAGGTCAGGAGATCGAGACCATCCTGGTTAACAGGGTGAAACCCCATCTCTACTAAAAAAATACAAAAAAATTAGCTGCTCGCAGTGGTAGGCGCCTGTAGTCCCAGCTACTTGGGAGGCTGAGGCAGGAGAATGGCGTGAACCCAGGACGCGGAGCTTGCAGTGAGCCACTATACTCCAGCCCAGCCGACAGAGCGAGACTCCATCTCAAAAAAAAAAATTTATAATGTGCAGAAAGGGAGCAATACTAGGCATAGGTGTAGGTATACAAATATTACATCCTTTTATTATTTCTACCTTTTATTATGTATTTTTGTTGTTTTGTTATTTACATTTTTGTTATTGTTATTTTGTTATTATGTATTTTATTAAAAATACAACCTCAAACATTCCAGCTCCCACGCGGGTCTCAACACAAATTTCCCTTAAGAAGAAGGCTGATGAAAAAGTGATTAAAACAGGCCGGGCACGGTGGTTTATGCCTATAATCCCAGCAGTCTGGAAGGCCGAGGCAAGTTTGAGACCAGCCTGACCAACATGACGAAACCCCGTCTCTACTAAAATGCAAAAATTAGGCAGGCATGGTGTCACATGCCTATAATCCCAGCTACTCGGAGGCTGAGACATGAGAGTCACTTGAACCCAGGAGGCAGAGGTTGCAGTGAGCCGAGATTATGCCACTGCACTCCAGCCTGGGCAACAGAGCAAGACTCCATCTCAAAAAAAAAAAAAAAAGTTATTAAAACAATTTAAATATTCACAGAAGTTACTTGTGACTATCACAAAGGAAAAATATTTATTAAATGCTTGGAAAAAACTTCTAAGATACTCTTGACCTCTGTTTCCTTCCCCCACCATCAACTCTGAACCAAGAAACCACCCCAGGGCAGGCCGCTGGCTCTCAGTCAGGTTGCTGCAGACACTCGGGCAGGTTGTGCAAGGCAGTGGCCCCAGGTCCTCATGTCTTGTTAGTGCCCCCGTCCCTCCAGCTTGGCTGCCTCTATTTTTTTCTGCTGTCGGTCATAAGGACACTCATCTCACCCCTGGGCCTCACGATGCCCCCTCGATTTCTGTTTGCTTGCTGCCAGCACCTGCCTAGGTCTCTTGCATTCCTTGGGTGGCTCTGTCTCAGGCCCTGGGGTCTTTCCTGCCTCCGCAGATGCCTGGTTCTTCAGCTTCTTTTCAAAGTTTTCTAAACACCAAGGCCCCCTAGTTGTGGTCTTCGTTGCTTTTCTGGATCCTGACCCACCATGACCCTCAGGAACCTGCATGTGCCCCATCTCCAGCTGCTCTGCTGGCTCCGGACCCCTGCTCCTATCTTTAAAACCAGCCCCCCTGAGCTCCCTGGGGCTCAAGCCTATGCCTATGTGTTTGGCATCGTTTCGCTCACATCCAGATCCCGGCTCTTCTGGCCCTGGGTTCCCTTTCTCCCTGCCTTTATGATCTCCCTCGGCCTTGGAGGGACAGGAGGGAGGAAAGGAGAGCTGTGTTTCTAGTTCACAGAGAAAAGCTTTAGATTTGGAATTAGGACACTTAGAACCCAGTTGCAGCTTTGCCACTGATTCTAGGTGACAGGTTTCCCTCTTTGGACCTCAGTTTCCTCCTACAGAAAATGAAGAGATAGAGTGGCTGGTCACTAAGATCCTTTCCAGTGGCCAGGTGTGGTGGTTCATGCCTGTAGTCCCAGCACTTTGGGAGGTGGAGACAGGCGGATCACTTGAGGTTAGGAGCTCAAGGCCAGCCTAGCCAACATGGTGAAACCCCCTCTCTACTAGAATCTCAAAAATCAGCCGGGTATGGTGGCAGGAGCCTGTAATCCCAGCTACTCGGGAGGCTGAGGCACGAGAATTTCTTGAACCCAGGAGGCGGAGGTTGCAGTGAACAGAGATGGCACCACTGCAGTCCAGCCAGGGCAACAGAGCGAGACTCCGTCTCAAAAACAACAACAACAGGCCAAGCGTGGTTGCTCACGCCTGTAATCCTAGCACTTTGGGAGGCCGAGATGGGTGGATTGCCTGAGCTCAAGAATTCAAAATCAGTCTGGGCAACACGGTGAAACCCCACCTCTACTAAAATACAAAAAATTAGCCAGGCGTGGCGGCGTGCACCTGTAGCCCCAGCTACTCAGGAGGCTGAGACAGGAGAATCGCTTGAACCTGGGAGGCAGAGGTTGCAGTGAGCCAAGATCGCACCACTGCACTCCAGCCTGGGTGACATCTCAAAAACAGCAACAACAACAATAACAACAAATATCCTTTCCAGTGAATAGTTAAGAGCATTTGGTGTAGAGTTAGACCCAGGGTCAAATCCCATCTCTACCCTCACTGCGGATCTCTCTGAGCCTCTGTAATACCAACTTCCTGGGTTTTTATGAGGATTAAATGCAAGACTGAATACAAATTGCTTATTATAGTACCTGGCACATGGCGAACACTCAGTAGGTGTTAGCTGCTATCGTCATCATCATCATCGTCATCATTATTGTGTACCACTCTGTCATTGAGCTAATCCTAGAAGGTCTTTCCCGGTTGGCCTTTCATTTTGTTTTATATATTAAACTTTTTTTAAAAATGTATGTATGTACGTATGTATTTATTTATTGAGATGGAGTCTTGCTCTGTTGCCCAGGCAGGGGTGCAATGGTGCGATCTCGGCTCACTGCAACTTCTGCTTCCTGGGTATATATTGAACTTTTTAAAGTAGGGTCTTGGTCTTTAATCTGCCTCATCACACTTGCTGAACAAGGCCCACTCTCAGCAGTGGACAGCGATGGCTGGAGAAGGGAACAGCCCACACAGAGTCTGGGAATTACTGTTTTAGACTCATGCTTCTTTTAACAAGAAAACACTCCATCAAGAAGGAGCTGAGTCAGCCCGACAGCTGAATCCACAACATAGCCAATCAGGGGCCGGCACTCTCAGAGATGCCCAAGTCCCATGCCCATCATCAAGGTCCAGACGTCCTTGCTGGGCGTTGGGAAGCAGGGTTGGGGACAGGGTGGGGCAGGGCTGGTCCTGGTTGGCAGAGATGCAGTCGGGAGACTAGAAAGACAGCAGCCAAGGCTGAAGCCAGAATTGAGAGGCAGTAGGCCCCACCCAAGTTCGGGAGGGCCCCTAGAGGGGTGCAGACTAGAGACATGGCCAGCCAGATTTATGTAGCATGACTGCATGACACCTGAGCCCAACCCTTCCCAGGATTCCTCCAGCACCTGCCTGCCCTCCACTCTGGGCCACCTCCCACATAGAGTAGGAAGCTGGGTCCGGGGTTGGGGTATGCTCTGGGGTGACCTTCCCCTCCACCTCCTGCTGGTTGGCAGGTTCTGCAGATGTCTGGTCATTAAGCAAAAATGCCAGAAAAGAGAACAGTCACTCTGGCTCTGCCAGCAACAATGGGGAACTTCATTGCCTAGCTTACATCCAGTGACAATGGACACTTCTTTCCTTTTTGCTGGGTTGTCTCTTTACCTGGCTGGAGCTTGGAGATGGACAGTTCCCCCAAGCTAAGCCAACAGCCTTTCTTTCCTAGAAAGAAGGCCCTAATCATACCTCCAGCCTCCGTGAGGCTCAGCAAGCATACACCTGTCCACCTGCGGCTCAACACTGCCTAATTCCAACATCCATCCATTCATTCCAAAAATATTAGTTGACACCCACTATGTGCCAAATACTCCATGGGAGTGGGAGATGACTCAGATCCGGGGCTGGACCTACCATGAGTGAACCTACCCCCGGGGACAAAAATCATACAGAGCACTTGATTCTCTTTTGGGGACAGGAGGCCCATTCCATTAGACTGTGCCCAGGTGGGGAACAGGAACCAGATCTGTTACGTTCATTATTCTCTACTCAGCCCTTAGCACCATGCCTAGAAGATAGAAGGCAGTCTGTAATATTTCTGGAAGGAATGCTTCTTCCAAAAGGGATTGTGGATGGATGACCCCTGAGTAGCCCACGCCAAGCAGCCAATCCTGACAGCTGCTACTACTCCATGGCATTCCATCTGTGCACACGTGTCAATCCAGTCTCCCACTCCACCCAGGAGCCTCCACAGGGATGCCCAGCCAATCCTGAGGAAACACTTTATAACAGCGACCCCTAGAGGCTGACATTATCATCACACCCCATCACATGAAGAGGAAATGGAGACAGTTTCAGCGAGTAGCCAATGAGCACACCCAGGTTCCAAAGGCTGCCTCTTTCCCTTACACCATCAGTACAGAGGACACTGTCACGGAGTTTGGGGTGATTGTGTGCAGGCTGGAGAAGGAGAAGGAAGGGCAGAAGGAGCAGACATTACCAGTGTTGGGCTCTGCAGCAGGAGGCCGTGCTTCTAGTGCAGACTAAGGATCTGGATGCACCTTTGCTGGGTGTGTTGCTGGTATGCGCGGTTAAGCCCTCCAAGCCCCCTAACCCCTACCCTTTTATGGAACAAATATTCAGCAATTCTTTTTTTATCAACTCGAATGACATTTTTTATAAATAATTTTTTTTTTTTTTTTTTTTTTTTTTTTTTTTTTTTAGAGATGGAGTCTCACTATGTTGCCCCAACTGGTCTCAAACTCCTGGGTTCAAGCGACCCTCTTACCTCAGCCTCCTGAGTACCTGGGATTACAGAATTACAGGCACACACCACGGAGTGGGGCCTGGCTGCCTGGCTTTCAGCAATTCTGATTGGCTGGACTCAGGGTTACCAAGTGGGACCAGGCCCAGGCCTGGAACTAAGGCTTCTGCACAACAGGCCTGGAAGGGATCTGACTGTTCAATAACCGAACTTCTCTCTTCCCCAGGTGCCCGACCCTTTTACGGTGATCTGCGTATCTTTAGCTAATAATTAACTTGTCACAAACCCCATCAATACCCCATCAAGGGAGTGATAGAGGGAGAGGGAGGGGATGGGGGAAAACGGTCCCAGCCCAGCACCCCAGCCGGCCACAGCCCCACGCTCATCTGGCCCATAATAAATAGGATGAAAGGCACTCCTGATAAATGCCCGTGTCAGGGAGAGATTTTAGCTTCACTCAGAAACAATGTAATATCTCGGCTATTACCCAAAATAATTTATCAATGTGTAATAGCTTTGTGCAGGCCTCAGATAGGAGGGGAGCTGAGCTATCAGAGATGGATGTAGCCTACCTTCGGCTTTTAATTTTTAATGTTCGCAGCCAGCTTTGCATCAAAGGCCAGGTGTCATATAAAGACTTAATGTAAGAAGGGAGTTCATGAATTCTAATCAAGGGACGAGTGCTCCCTGGCTGGCTGCTGTCACCTCCTGGCTGGTCTTATTGATCTTTTGTTTTCTCCCCTTCTGGTTCTTCTTGCTCTTCCTTCTCCTCTCTACGTCCTCCACCTCACCCCTCCCCTCCCTGCCCAACCCTTCCTGCCCCATCCCACCCTGGGTTTTCCTCTTCCCAAGATGCATTTGTTTTTTCCCACTGTAAAAGGGAGGGTCTCTGGCTGGGCCAGGGCAGCGAATGCAAAGATTCTGGAACAGCGGGATGAGACACCCAATTTCAAGATGGCAAGACTTTTTTTTTCTTCATTCATTCCATTTTTATTTATTCATTCATTTCTTTTTCATTCATTCATCCAGAAAATGTTTTTAAATATTCACGAGGAGCCCAACTCTGCTACACAATGGAAGAGGCAGGCAAGATGGTTTCTGCCTCTAGAGGAGTTTCTAATCTTGCTGAGAAAATACTCTTTCAGGCCAGGCATGGTGACTCACACCTGTAATCCCAGCACTTTGGGAGGCCGAGGCGGATGGATCACCTGAGGTCAGGAGTTTGAAACCAGCCTGGTCAACGTGGTGAAACCCCGTCTCTACTAAAAATACAAAAATTAGCCGGGCATTCTGGCACATGCCTATAGTGCCAGCTGCTTGGGAGGCCTCGGCAGGAGAATCGCTTGAACCCAGGAGGCAGAGGTTGTAGTAAGCTGAGATCGTGCCACTGCACTCCACCTGGGGTGACAAAGTGAGACTCTGTCTCAAAAACAAAAACAAAAACAAAAAAACTCTTCATGCAAACATACACGTGTAAATATGACTGGAGACAGTTGCATGAGATTTAAAGAAATCCTCAAGTGTCATCTTCTGAGTGAGGCTTTCCCTAATTTGTGCAGCTAAGTATATACACACACACACACACACACACACACACACACACACACACACCCCAGCCAGCATCCCCTGTCCCACCTGGGCTTTCTTTTTCTCCTTCTACTACACTGTAGAAACTGCCTGTACTAAAAGACAAACAGGCACATTACAATTTTAAAGAGTTTATTGAAGCAAACAGCGATTCATGAGTCAGTCTGCGTTAGACCCCAAGTGGTTCAGGGCTCCACTGAGGGGGTGCAAGGTGAAAACTTTTGTGTTTTTTTTTTTTTTTTTTTTTTTTGAGACAGAGACTCACTCTGTTACCCAGGCTGGAGTACAGTGGCGTGATCTCGGCTCACTGCACCCTCTGCCTCCCAGGTTCAAGCAATTCTCCTGTCTCAGCCTCCTGAGTAGCTGGGATTACAGGTGCCCGCCATCACACCCAGCTAATTTTGTATTTTTAGTAGAGAAGGGGTTTCACCTTGTTGGTCAGGCTGGTGTTGAACTCCTGACCTCATAATCTGCCCGCCTCAGCCTCCCAAAGTGCTGGGATTACAGGCGTGAGCCATCGCGCCCAGCCAGGTGAAAACTTTTATAAAGTATTTGCAGAAGCAGGACAGAAAAGATTTGAATGACTAAAGTGGAAAATCTCAGAGATTAGTTGGTTTCTGATTGTGAAACTCTCTAGTTAGAGGTTTGTTGGCAGTTTCTGATTGGTTAAGCTTGTGTTTTCTTTTTATTAATGTTTAAATTTTTTATTTTTATTTTTTTGTAGAGACTGGGTCTCACTATGTTGTCCAGGCTGGTCCTGAACTGGCCTCAGAAGATCCTCCTGCCTCAGCCTCCCAGAGTGCTAGGATTACTGGCATGAGCCACTGTACCTAGTCTATTCACTTGTGTTTTCTTGGGCTATGGCCCTTTGAGTTGGGTTTCAGTTGTTTACTTAGGAACCCAAGGCACTTTGGAGCTATCTCAGCCTAATGGCCTCCCAATTGATTCTTTTTTTCCTTTTTTCTTTTTTTTTTTTTTTTGAGATGGAGTCTTGCTCTGTCAACCAGGCTGGAGTGCAGTGGTGTGATCTTGGCTCACTGCAACCTCCGCCTCCTGGGTTCAAGCGATTCTCCTGCCTAAGCCTCCCAAGTAGCTGGGATTACAGGCGCCCACCACCACACGCAGCTAATTGTTGTATTTTTAGTAGAGATGGAGTTTTATCATGTTGGCCAGGCTGGTCTCAAACTCCTGACCTCAGGTGATCCGCCCACCTCAGCCTCCCAAAGTGCTGGGATTACAGACATGAGTCACCACGCCTGGCCCAATTAATTCTTTTATACCTATTTATTTTCTTTATGGTCTAACTCCTCCTACACAAATATAAGTTCTTGAGGGCAGGGATTTGGACCTCTTTTGTTCACTGATATGGCCCTTGTGCATAGAACAGGGCTCTGTGTAGTAGCTGCTCAAAAAGTTATCTACTGACTGAATTAAGCAACAAAAAGGTGGTGCTCAGAGGACAAGAGCAATGGTATTGCCAAGCCTTGGACAGGAAATGAACAATTGTGCCTTCCAGCAGCAGGCTACTGTAGCTCCTCTGCCCTAGGGAGCTCCACCCCTCTTTCAGATGCTGTAAGATACTGTAAGTCCCTGGGTAAACCACACTCTCCATCTAGCCCCAGTCCAGCCTACCCCATTCCTGCCTCTCTTTGGTAGACTCCTGGTGGTTTCCTCCTGCTGCCCTTTTCCCAGCCTGACTCAGATCAGAGGCAGGAGTGGGAAAGGAGGAGGACAGGGGATGTATGTCCACCTGGCTGTGAGCTCACCAGGGTGGGGCTGGGCCTTATGCCTCCTCGGATCCCAGAGCACAGGTCCTGGCATGCAGTAGGTGCTCAGTTCTGGGCAGGCCCGTTTTTATGTGAGTGCCGCATTCTTGCAAACTGCTTCTAATTTCAAACTCACAGAATTCATGACAAGTTTTCCCCCAGGAATAGATATAAAGTAGGATCTGCCTCCTTTCAAAACTTTTGCACAAGTGAGACTTCCTACCATTTGCATTGTCCAGTTTCAGATTCTCTTGAAAATGCCAACTGTGCGAGAGGGGCCAAGTTCTCTCCCCTGCTTTTGTGGCCCTGTGGCCTCTTTCCACTGTTTCTGCCCTCAAGAATACAGGATTCCTCCTCAAATCTCCCTTTTGTTCCTTTAAGACCCACTGCAAAGATCAGCCTCCTCCATGAAGCCCTCAGAAACAGTGGGCCCCTCCCTCCTCTGTGCTCTCAAAAAATTTTGTTCCTGCTTTTGTCACAGGCAGTTGAATTGTAAACGAGCTGCTAATGGGTCCATGTCTCCATTAGATCTTGAGTCCTTGACAGCAGACACTATGTCTAAGTCATCTCTTTAATCCTATCACCTTGTAAATAAATGAAGGAATGAATGAGTGAATGGGGCGCCCAGGTAACTCCCACAGATCTCCTCCAAAGCTGATGTAAGCTTCTAAGCTGGATTCATCAGAATCACCTTTGGAGCTTAAAACAAACCAACAAACCAAAATAAAACAATGCAGATTCTTTTACGTCACTCCAAACCTTGCTTTAGAAATACCCCCGCTCCCAAGAGATTTTGAAGATCAGGCAAGTGGGAGCCATAGCGCTAACCAGGGCCTGCCTTAGATTCACCTGGGGCACTTGGTAAAGGCACAGAATCCTGGGATACCATCCTGAATTTTTATTTTTTATTTTATATTTATTTATTTATTTATTTGAGACAGAGTCTTACTCTGTTGCCCAGGCTGGAGTGCAGTGGCTCGATCTTGGCTCACCGCAACCTCCACCTCCCAGGTTCAAGTGATTCTCATGCCTCAGCCTCCCCAGTAGCTGGGATTACAGGCAGGTGCCACCACTCCTGGCTAATTTTTATATTTTTAATAGAGACAGGGTTTCACCATGTTGCCCAGACTGGTCTCCAACTCCCGAGCTCAGGCAATCCACCCTCCTGGGCCTCCCAAAGTGCTAGGATTACAGGCATGTGAGCCACCACAACCCAGACACTCCAGGGAGAGTTTTTGTTTAACAAAGGCCCGAGGTGACTGCAGGAGTCAGAGCGGTTTGGGAAATGCCCCAGGCCCATGTACCTCAAGAGCTCTTAATCCTTGGTGAGGACACATCCTCCATCCCCTTTCAGACAATGAGTACTTCCAGAAGTCCCCGGTAATTTCCAGGGCAGGAAGGAACTTTAGTGATGATTCTATTGCAGGATTTGTCAACCTCAGTACTGTTGCCATTCTGGGTCAGATAATTCTTTGTTCTGGGAGGTCCTGTGTATGGTAGGATGTTTAGCAGCATCTCTGGACTCTATCCACTGCATGCCAGTAGTAACACCTGCCCCTCCATCCTCCAGTGTGACAACCCAAAATGTCTCCAGACATTGCCAAGTGTCCTGGGGGAATATATATCACCCCTTGCTAAGAAACACTTTGGTCCTGCCTGGGGCTCAGGAAGGCTGAATTCTTTGCCCAAGGGGAGTAACAATAAGATTTCAGGAAATAGTAAAAAGTGAAGATGAAGACGATGTACAAAGACGTTCATCACAGTTTTGTTTATAACAACAAAACGACCAAACTAGAAGCAGCCAAAGCGACTAAAAATAAAAGAAAGATTTGTTAGCACTTATGGCACCTTGTAAAATGGGATTTAGGCAGCCATGAAAATAGCAGTATCAAAGATTAACTAATGACATTGAAAAATAAAGGTTATATGAAAAAAACAGCTTACATGGCGGGATGAAGAGTGTGGTCCCAACATTATCTAAATGTGAAAGCAAAAGAACATAACTTTTTGCTATTTTCACAATGGACACTTAGTTAATTTTTTTTCCTGAATAAAACTTATTGTACTAAAAAAACTAAAACAATACAGAGAAACTGAAATTCTTCCTCTACATTCTACTTCCTAATCACAAGGCCAGAGGAAAATGTCGGGGCATCCCAGGCAGAGTAAGAATTAACAGGTTACACTGGTATTCTTCAAGCACACATTCAATATTTCTTTATTGGGAGTGGAGAGAAACTGATACTTACTGAACAAAAACAAAAACAGTATATCCTCTGTTTCAAAATAAGCAATTTATAAGCAAGCACTGAAGATGTTTTGTTTTCAATTACAAAATAATTGAAATATATGGAAGGTTATAGAAAACAATATAAACAAATTCCTATGTACCTACGTTAACTTACTTTAGGTGTTTAGTTTTTAAGAAATGTTGTGGGGCCGGGTGCAGTGGCTCATGCCTGTAATTCCAGCACTTTGGGAGGCTGAGACAAGAGGATTGCTTGAGCCCAGAAGTTTGAGACCAGTCCGGGCAACATGGTGAAACCCCGTCCCTATGAAAAATTAAAAATTAGCTGGGCGTGGTGCCACGTACCTGTAGTCCCAGGTACTCAGAGACTGAGCTGGGAGGATTGCTTGAGCCCGAGAAGGTTCAACTGCAGTGAGCCATGATGGCACCACTGCACTCCAGCCTGGGCAACAGAGCTAGACCCTGTCTCAAAAAAAAAAAAAAAAAAAAGAAAAGAAAAGAAATGTTGTAAATCTACTTAAATAGTCTAAGCCATATTCTCTTACATTTTTCTTGCCTACTTGTCCTGAAAGAAATCACTATCTGCCAGGCGCGGTGGCTCACGCCTATAATCCCAGCAATTTGGGAGGCTGAGGCGGGCAGATCACTTGAGGTCAGGAGTTGTGACCAGCCTGGCCAACATGGTGAAACCTCGTGTCCATTAAAAATAGAAAAATTTGCTGGGTGTGGTGGTGGGTGCCTGTAATCTCAGCTACTCGGGAGACTGAGGCAGGAGAATCGCTTGAACCCAGGAGGCAGACGTTACAGTGAGCCGAGATCACACCACTGCACTCCGGCCTGCATGACAGAGTGAGACTCTGTCTCAAAAAAAAAAAAAAAAAGAAATCACTATCTTGAAGGTGTTAACAATCATTTCCAGGCATGTTTTAATATATTTATTATATGTGCATATATCCATAAATAATTTCAGTCATGCAATTAAATGAATTTATTAATTAATATTAATATAAATAGCATCAAATTATAGTCTCTTGCAATTTACTTTTTAAATCTTGTGATTTTTAAAAATTTATTTATATTTATGCATATAGATTTATTTATTTCAGTTGTGAATTATTATGACATTATATGACTAAATTACAGCTTATCAATCCTTTCTTCTACTGCAGGACAGTTCTACTCTCATTTTTCCATTATTTCAAACAATGTCCTGGTGAGTTTCCTGCAGATCTCCCTGTGAATTTGTGGGAGAGTTTGATTTCTATGGCAGCACTCATCAAACCTTTTGATGTCAGGATTCCTTTACATTCTTTTTTTTTTTTTGAGACCGAGTTCACTCTTGTTGCCCAGGCTGGAATGCTATCTCAGCTCACTGCAACCTCTGCCTCCCGGGTTCAATCCATTCTCCTGCCTCAACCTCCGGAGTAGCTGGGATTACAAATGCCCTCCACCACATCTAGCTAATTTTTTGTATTTTTAGTAGAGATGGGGTTTCGCCATGTTGCCCAGGTTGGTCTTGAACTCCTGACCTCAGGTGATCCGCCTGCCTTGGGCTCCCAAAGTGCTGGGATTATAGGTGTGAGCCACCACACCTGGTCTTCCCTTACACTCTTAACAATTAATGAAGGCCACAAAGAACTTTCGTTGAAGGGAGTTATATCTATCAACAAATACCATAGTTAACAGTTTAGAAATTACAACTGAGAATTTTAAAAATTTTATTCATTTATTTGAAATAACAACACATCTATTTCATGTCAATATAAATAACATATTGTTATGAAAAGTAACTTCTTTAAAATAAAAAAATTTAGTAAGATAAGTGGTAGCAGTGTTGTTCTTCATTTTCACAAAGCTCTCTGTTTACTGTGCTATGTTGTTTTGGCCGAAGCCTATGAAGAAAATTTGGCCTCACAAAGCTACATAGTTGGAAAGGAGAGAAGCAACTTAAGAGTCTTTTCAGATCATTGTGGATATTTTTTGATAATACTCACTTAACAAGTGGTAGTTTCTTAAAGATTGGTTGCAGTGTAACATGTGAAACCATATTAGTGCTCATTTTGTGCTCTATTACGTTAAAAGGCATTGATCTATCTTGTACCTTGAAAAGATCTTTTACCTGTGATTTTTGTAACATCCTACATTGATCATTTGGAAAATATTAGTTCACCCAGTCCTGCAAATCTGTCAGATGCTGGCACACTTTACTACACAATATCACACACACAAAAAATGCATTCACTAACATCACCTTTTAAAAAAAATTTTAATTTTTTTTAAGACAGAGTTTCACTCTGTCACCTAGGCTGGAGTTCAGTGGCGGGATCTCAGCTCACTGCAACCTCCACCTCCTGGCTCAAGCGATTCTCCTGCCTCAGCCTCCCAAGTAGCTGGGACCACAGGTGTGCACCACCACACCCAGCTAATTTTTTGTATTTTTAGTAGAGACGGGTTTCACCATTTTGCCCAGGCTGGTCTGCCTTGGCCTCCCAGAGTGCTGGGATTGCAGATGTGAGCCACCATGCCAGCCTTACCTGATAGCACCTTTGATTTTATCAGGAGAACTTTAGCTATTGAGAAGCTGTCAAGCTCACGAGGCAGCAGGTCCAAGTTTCCCACAATTTGAAAGCTCAAATTTTGTCATTGAATTGACAAGCTCTCTTCCTTTCTCAGAAAATATCTCCCAAATACCCCAATTTGAATAACCACGGTATGTCCATTGTTCTTTCAAGAAAAAATAACGTTCTGTGAAAAAAGTGGCCAGTTCATCTTTCTTTTTTTTATTTTTTGAGACAGAGTCTCGTTCTGTCGCCAGGCTGGAGTGCAGTGGCACGATCTTGGCTCACTGCAACCTCCGATTTCCAGGCTCAAGTGATTCTCCTGCCTCAGCTTCCCGAGTAGCTAGGACTACGGGTGGGTGCCATCATGCCCAGCTAAGTTTTGTATTTTTAGTAAAGACCAGGTTTCACCATGTTGGCCAGGCTGGTCTCGAACTTTTGACCTCGTGATCCACCTGCCTCGGCCTCCCAAATTGCTGGGATTGCAGGCGTGAGCCAGCGCGCTGGGCTAGTTCATCTTTCAACACACACATTCCCCCGTGTGCTTTCCTCTTGAGTATTCAGCAGAAGGGGTTTACGTGCAATTCCCATTTCCTCATGCAGAACATTCAAAATAAGTAACCAGGGTCGAGATTTCTACATTTTAAAAATTCTACTGCTCCATCAAGAACATCCTTCAGTAAAACTGGTTTTTGTCTTTGTTTTGTTTACTGAAGGGCATGACAGTGACAATTGGTGCAGGTTAAGGCCACTGCCTTGCTGCATGCTAAGGCACTATCACTTGAACGTCATCAGTGCAAATGTTGTCACAGCAGAAAAGACAAATAACATCTTAGTGTTTGTTCTTTTATTTATTTATTTATATAGAGAGAGACAGGGGTCTCGCTATGTTGGCTAGGCTGGTCTCGAACTCCTGACCTCAAGCAATCCTCTTCCTGCCACAGCTTCCCAAAGTGCTGGGATTACAGGTGTGAGCCAGCACACTTGGTTTCCTAGTTTTGTTCTGAAAATAGTTTTGACCTTGCAGGTGTCCTTGGAAGCATCTCAGAAATCCTCCTGGGGTTGGGGGTCACATGTTCAGAATTGCTGTTCTAGGTTAGCTAAACAGAAGCTAAATTACTGGGTGGTGGGGTGGGCGCATTTTACCTTTACTAGTCCCTCTCAAATTGCTCTTCAAAGTGGTTTTATCAACTTCCCTCCCACCAGCAATGTGTAAGCGTTCTCAAGTCTCCATATCCTGATCATCACTGGGTGTTGTCCAACTTATGGTTTTTGCCGATCTAGTGGGTATGAAATGGTGCCTCATCGCTGTATTCATTACAGGAGAGCATGTCAAGTACATTTGGAGCAGTCTTTCCAATCAGTTCTTTAACCACTCATAGTTGGGTGGTACTTATGGCACTCACTAATAATTGAGGTAGTTCCCAAGAATATAGATATATAAAATCTCTATATATCTCTATGTTGAATAGGTTTAAAAGTTGGGTGTCTTTTTCCCTCTAGCTTTCATGTTGGCAAAACATTTCCCACTTCAATTTTCTTCTGCAATTTTCCAAATGAGAGAGCTTCTGGAAAATGCTATTCTAGGGTTTTTAATAATTTATCCCCTGTAAACACTGCTAGCCCATATGTGATTTGGTTTCAAAATTGCAGTTGATTACACAGCAGATTAGAGCCTGCTGTTTTCAGGAGCGGTGATGCTGCCTATAGTAGTAGCATGTGTACATTGTCGAAACCCTCAACACAGATTTGTAGATGCTGCTAAAACTGACTGTGCAGGAATCTCGGTGAGAAATGGTATATCAGTCTCTAACATGCTAACTTTTCAGGAGACTTTCTAGAATGCATGTGTGTGTGTGTGTGATTTTTGCTTTACCTGTCGACTCTATAAACTCACCTCATGTGAGGAGCAAGGCTATTCTAAATAGTATGTGGGAGCCAGAATTAACAGGCACCAGGTTTCTCATTTCTCATTTATTTCATTACTGTTTAGCTCCCCTTATAAATTTGCGTTCTCAGCATCTGTTCATCTAAACCAGAAATTGGCAAACTTTTACCATATAACTCCAGATAGTAAATATTTTAGGTTTTGTGGGCCACATGATCTCTGTTACAACTACTCACCTCTCCTTTTGCAGGGTGAAAGCAACCAGCCATAATAAGTAAACCAAAGGTGTGGTTGTATTTCAAGAAAGCTTTATTTGCAAAAACAAGAGAGTGGTAGGCTGGGTATGGTAGCTCACGCATATAATCCCAGCGCTTTGGAAGGCCGAGGTGGGAGGATAGCTTGAGACCAGGAGTTCAAGACTACCCTGGTCAACATAGAAAGACCCCCATCTCTACTAAAAAAAAAAAAGGCCAGGTGTGGCAGTGCATGCTTGTAGTCCCAGCTACTCAGGAGGCTGAGGCAGGAGGATTGCTTGAGCATAGAGTTGGAGGTTGCAGCAAGACCCTGACCCCTTCTGGACTGCTTCTTCATCTGGCTCTCTGGGGAAAGCCTTGGCTAAGCCTGTGGTGTCCATTCTTCCAGTATTATGGTCTGTAGTTTTTACTTTCTATAACTGTGGCTGGGTTTGGTGGCTCACGCCTGTAATCCCAGCACTTTGGGAGGCCGAGGCAGGCAGATCACCTGAGGTCAGGAGTTTGAGACCAGCCTGGCCAACATGGTGAAACCCTGTCTCTACCCAAAATACAAAAACTAGCCTGGCGTGGTGGCCTGTACCTGTAATCCCAGCTACTCAGGAGGCTGAGGCAGGGGAATCGCTTGAACCCAGGAGGAGGAGGCTGCAGTGAGCTGAGATCATGCCACTGCATTCCAGCCTGCTGGGTGACAGAGTGAGGCTCTGTCTCAAAAAAAATTAAATATATATATATTTATATACATATATACACATATATATATAACTGTGCATGTGCCTATGTATTGTTGAATCTTTAATGAAAAAGAAGTAAATACAAGAAGGTAAACATGGAGATGATGTAGATAACAAGTAAGATTATTATTACTGTAAATTATAAAACTATATAGGCCCTGAGAGAACTTGAAGTGCATGCCAACTAGGCCACATGATGAGGAGGATAGACATGGCAGCTGTCCTTTCGGGGACCTCCACTGCTCTCCAGAAAACAGAAATCAAATAAGTTCCAGAAGGCTTCTTGGAGAAAAAGCTGATTCCAGGTCTGGGAAAAGAAAAGTCAAAGAGGAGGCCAAAACCTCTGGTTGTGCCAGACAGGAAGTTGTGCTCAAAGCATGAGGGACACAGGGATCCACTTGAAGGAGTCCCTTTGGCCAAATCTGGGGAATATGAGCATCAAAGTGAGTAATAATAGTAAAGAATAATAACTCACTGAATAAAATAAGAATCCCCAAATCCATACTGATATAAATAAATAAGTAAATAAGTAGACAGGGGAAAAGGGATGGTTCTTCCTTACAGCTGAATGCCAAGTAGTATAGACAGATGGAATGATGGAGTTCAAAAATCATCAATGGATGCTAAAACCAGTGGGTTAAAGTTTGATGAGGAACAGGCTATTTTCAGTTTTAGAGTACCTTAACACAAATTATGTATTCATCACAGAGGGAAGCATAGTAACTTTACAATGCAGAAATCTGGCACATATTACTTTTACCAAATGATTAAAGTTAATATCACCAATATTGGGTTAAATTGGCATCTTGTGCCTCCTGACGTGAGGCACTGAGAAGAACAGTGTCCCTATCCAAATGCACAAACTGAATCTCATCATGGAAAAACATCAGACAAGCCCAAACTGAGGGATGTTCTACAAAATAACTGGTCTGCTCTCTTAAACGGTAATGTGAAGGTCAAGAAATGCAAGGGAAAGCTGGAGAGCTGTCCAGATCAAAGAAGACCAAAAGAAGCATGACAGCTGAATGCCCCCAGGTTATCCTGGATTGGACCCTGGACTGAAGAGGAAAACCAGCTATAAAAGAAACTTGCTTTAGGGACCATTGATGAAATTTGAATATAGATTACAGATTAAATAATAGTTTATTTTTGTTTTTGTTTTGAGACAGAGTCTTGCTCTGTCACCCAAGCTGGAGTGCAATGGCATGATCTTGGCTCACTGCAACTTCCACCTCCTGGGTTCAAGCAATTCACTTGCCTCAGGTTCCCGAGTAGCTGGGCTTACAGGTGACCGCCACCGCGCCTGGCTAAGTTTTGTATTTTTAATAGAGATGGGGTTTCACCATGTTGTCCAGGCTGGTCTCAAACCCCTGACCTCAAGTGATCCACCTATCTTGGCCTCTTTTATCTTGACCTCCCAAAGTGCTGGGATTACAGGCATGAGCCACTGCATCCAGCCAATTGTTAACATTAAATGTTCTGATTTTGATAACTATACTAAGGTTACATAAGAGAATGTCCTTGTCCTTTGGAAAAACAGTGAAGTATTTGGGGTTAAAAGAAAATTGGTTCTGGTAACATGAAGAAATGCCTTACAAGCCAAAGTTGGGTTTCCCCATATGTATGAATTCTAGAAGGTGGGGGCATCTTCTGGCTAATAGCCTGCCCTGAATTAGTAGGCCCACAGATTTTCTCATCTATTTATTTTCTTCCCCTGGCCCCTGATACCTCTGCTATGTCTATTTATTTTCATTTCAATATATTGTATCATCAGAAAAAAATTACTTTTTTGGCCGGGCACAGTGACTCATGCCTGTAATCCCAGCACTTTGGGAGGCCGAGGCAGGCGGATCACTTGAGGCCAGGAGTGAGACCAGCCTGGACAACATGGCAAAACCCCGTCTCTACCAAAAACACGAAAATTAGCCGAGCATGGTGGCGCATACCTGCAATCCCAGCTACTCGAGTGAGGCACAAGAATCACTTGAATCGGGAGGCAGAGGAGGTTTCAGTGAGATCGTGCCACGGCACTCCAGCCTGGGTGACAGAGCGAGACTCTGTCTTAAAGTTCCTTTTTTTTCTTTTTGAGACAGAGTCTCACTCTGTCGCCCAGGCTGGAGTGCAATGGCGCAATTGCGGCTCACTGCAACCTCCGCCTCCCTGGTTCAAGCGATTCTCCTGCCTCAGCCTCCCGAGTAGCTGGGACTACAGGCACCCGCCACCACGCCTGGCTAATTTTTTGTATTTTTAGTAGAGACGGGGTTTCACCATGTTGGCCAGGATGGTCTCAATCTCTTGACCTCGTGATCCACCCGCCTTGGCCTCCCAAAGTGCTGGGATTACAGGCGTGAGCCATCGCACCCAGCTGCAAAAAAAAAAAAAAAAAAGGTATTTTTTTTTAAGTTTAGGAGAAGGGCATTTCAGGTGGAATGAACAAAATTATAAAGGTGGGATATGCGAGTAGTGGTTTGGGGGCTTAGAATATATCCAAGTTATGGCAAATGAGTAGTGGAAAAATAAGACTGAAAAGGTAGTTATATTCAGATTACCAAGGACACTAAATATCATAGTAAAGTGTGTTAATTTTGCTGATGGGGCAAAGGGCAACCATTCATTGAGAGCTGTTGAGTAAGAAAGCGACATAGAGGTGAACATAGGGAGGAGGATCCCGGCTGCACGTTTAGGTTGGAAAAGCAAGAACAACACCTGGAATTGGAGGATATTTGTAAAAGGAGGGAAGAAGGCTGTGATGGTTAATAATTGAGTGTCAACTTGACTGGATTGAAGGATGCAAAGTACTGTTCTTGGGTGTGTCTGTGAGGGTGTTGCCAAAGGAGATTAACATTTGAGTCAGTGGACTGGGAGAGGCAGACCCACACTCAGTCTAGGTGGGCACCATCTAATCAGCTGGCAGCACAGCTAGAATAAAGCAGGCCAGAAGAAGTTGGAAAGAGCAGACGTGTTAATAGTGGAGGGTGTCCAGTTTCTTGGCTTCTTGAACAAAGAATTGGACAAAAGGCACAAACAAAGCAAGGAAAGAATGAAGCAACAAGAGCAGAGATTTATTGAAAACGAAAGTACACTCCATAGGGTGGGAGTGGGCTGAGCAGCGGCTCCAGAGCCCCGAGACAGAATCTTCTGGGGTCCAAATACCCCCTAGAGGTTCCCCACTGGCCACTTGGTGTACACCCCATGCAAATGAAGTAGTGACCCGTAATCAGTCTGATTGGTTGCAGAAAGCAACCAATCATAAATACTTTCGATTTTCCACCTGCCATGCAGAAAGATGTGGGGAGGGTTTGCAAAGGGAATAGCTTCTGGTCCTTTTGTTACTTAGGTTTGGAAAGTTGAGTTTTTTCCTTTGATTTAGTTCTGGGCAGTCAGCGTGAATCAGCCATAGATTCCCTGCCTCCAGACACTATTCTCCTGTCTCAGACCCACAGAGTCTTCCGGCCCCATTTTTCTATGGTGTTAGATGCTTCCTGACCTTGAACATCAGACTGCAAGTTCTTCTGCTTTTGGACTCTTGGACTTATGGCAGTGATTTGCCAAGGACTCTCGGGCCTTAAGCCACAGACTGAAGGCTGCACTGTTGGCTTCCCTACTTTTGAGGTTTTGGGACTCAGACTGGCTTCCTAGCTCCACAGCTTGCAGACGGCCTATTGTGGGACTTCACCTTGTGATCGTGTCAGTCAATACTCCTTAATTAACTCCCCTTCATATATACATCTATCCTATTAGTTCTGTCCCTCTAGAGAACCCCAACCAATACAGGGGCAATGAGTGTCCCATTCACAGTTCAACACACATTTTTGCATAGCTGGAACTGGGGAAATAGAGATGGATACAGAAGATTCATCTGCCTTGAGGAACTCTTTGAGGCTATGGGAGCCAGTGGACTCATCAAAAGGAGGCAGTAGAAAGGGATGGAAACAAACAAAGAAGGAACTTGGGGAAGTGCCTGCACTGGGGCGCAGGAGCAGAAAGAGGAGCCAGCGAAGGAGGCAAGAGTGATCAAGGAAGAAGGAGAGCCAGGAGGGCACAGTGCCATAGAGGCCCCAGGAGAGAAGTATCACCAAGGAGGAGCCAGGCATGGCCGAGAGGTGTGAAGGCTGCTGAGAAACTGGGTGCAGCCCTTGGATGTGGCTGTTGGGTTCTAGTTAATGTCTTAGAATTTGACTCAGTAAAGCAGGAGAGGGGAAGCCAGACCGGAAGGAGGAAATGGAGGCACCAGGTAAATGTTGCCCTTTGGAGAAGCTAGGTGGTATTATAAAGGAAGAAGGTGAGAAAGCAAAACCTGAAGAAAATGGGACCGAGGGATGTTGTCATTCTCTTTGATGCCATGGCAGATCCCCTCCTTGCTCCTCTGAGTCTGCCCGAGGACAGACACACCTTCACCCAGGGCAGCCAAGCAGAGCTACCCGTGCTGCCTGTACCTACACAGCTGTCATCTGCCCGTGGGCATGAGAGTGGGGTCCGTGTGGCCAATGTCTCCTTGTATTTTATTACTCACATGCGACACTTAATTACCAGCCTTCTGGATTCTGGACAAAGAGGTGATGCTTCTATTGCCTAGAGAAGAAAACAATGGTGTTATCACCACTGAAAGCAGAAGAACAGGGGCAAACTCCTGTCAGGCAGTGACAAGAAACAATTCAGTCTCGCCCCTCTCCCACCCAGAACTCTGTTGGTCAAGCATAAATCTTTTCATTAGTATGGAATTCTGTGTTCCTTTAACATTTGCACTCTGTAATGGTGATAGCAATGATGACAATGACAGCTAAATATTTACTGGGCTATGTGCCTGGATGGTATTTTTTTTTTCTTTTTTTGAGATGGAGTCTTGCCCTGTCGCCCAGGCTGGAGTGCAGTGGCACGATCTCGGGCCACTGCAACCTCTGCCTCCTGGGCTCAAGCGATTCTTCCACCTCAGCCTCCCAAGTAGCTGGGACTACAGGCACCTGCCACCACACCTGGCTAATTTTTGAATTTTTAGTAGAGACAGGGTTTCACCATGTTGGCCAGGCTCGTCTCGAACTCTGGCCTAAAGTAATCCACCCGGCTTGGCCTCCCATAGTGCTGGGATTACGGGCATGAGCCACCACGCCCAGCTGCCTGGATGGTATTATTACAAGGAAGGAAACAAACAAAGGAAGGACTTTGGGAAGTACTTGCATTTGGGGGAAGGAGCACAAAGAGGAGCCAGTTAGTTTGTAGGGCTCCAAGCAAGATAGGGGATGATATCTCCATCTCTTATCTCTCTATATATAGATAGATAGGTAGTTAGATAGATAGAGAATAGGTGGGCAGATAGCTAGTTATGTTAAATAGATAGATTGAAGGGCTTGGGGTATGTGATTGTGGGGCTGGCAGGGCAAATTCGAATCCACAGAGCAGGCATCAGAAAGGGTGGGCTGGAACTCTCAGGCGTGGGCTGACGCTGCTGTCCACAGGCAGAAATCTCTTCTTTACGGAAGCTTTGGCTCTGCTTTTAAGATCTTTCAACCGATTGAATCAGGTCCACCTAGATTTTCAAGAATTGTCTCCCCTAAAGTCAATGGATTGTGGGCTTTACGCATGTTTACAAAATACCTTCGTGATAACACTAAGCGTGTGCACATGTGCACACAAATGCTCAGACACACACACACACACTCACACACACACTCAAGCTGATTTGCCCAAGTTTGTTTGCATAGAGACAACTGGGAGATTTGCTGCCAGGGCCACCACATTTTCAGTTAGTGCTTGGCTGAATAACTGGGGACTGAAGCCTAGCCACACTGACACACCAACTTCAGGACAGGCAAATCCATAGAGTCAGAAAGTAGATGAGTGGTTGTGTCAGAGGGACTGGGGGAGGAGGAGGAATGGGGAATGATCACTCAAAGGGTACAGTGTGTTCTTCTGGGGTGAGGGAAAAGTTTTGGAACTAGAGAGGTGGTGGTTGCCCACATTGTGAATGCATCAAATGTCACTGAATGGTACACGGAATGGTTAGTTGCATGTTATGTGAATTGCAGTTCAATTCAAAATAAAGAAAGAGTCCTAACAAATACATGGAGAAATGGTTGACTTCTGTCTTTCCCTGGCGCCCTAGGGCTCCCCCTAGCTGACCCCTGAAGACTCCATTCTTGAAGAGATCTGGCCCCACTCCAAACAAAATGAACCAATCAAAGTTTCAGTTTGAAGACAGAGAGAGAGGAGAGAGAGAGAGAGAGAGGAGAGAGAGAGAGAGAGGAGAGAGAGAGAGAGAGAGAGGAGAGAGAGAGAGAGGAGGAGAGAGAGAGGAGAGAGAGAGAGAGGAGAGAGAGAGAGAGGAGAGAGAGAGAGAGAGAGAGAGGAGAGAGAGAGAGAGGAGAGAGAGAGAGAGAGAGAGAGAGAGAACAAGGCTTCACCAACCTCCCAAGCTCCTGACACCCTGGGCCTTTGGCCTGGCCAAGTGCCAGCCAGAGCCCTCCGGCTGGAGTGGTTGATGGCTGCATGGTCCTGAGCTCAGCTAAGGTCCCTGATGTTCCTCTGATCCCCTTCCTAGGTCAGGAACTCAGGGGAGAGGCCTCCCAGGTACCTTCTGTTGCCAAATGGTCCGAGCCCCTCTAATCAGGGTCTCTGACTGTTGAGTCCCTGTGGCTAACACAGTGACTCTAACTGCCGTGTACTACAAATTAATTCATTCCGTTAGGCCTTGCTGTTCGGTAACTGGCTGTCACAGAGATCGCCCCGGGAGCTAATTGAGAGTTGCGATCCGTGGCCGTATTTCCATTAGCGGCATAATGACAGGCAGCCACTGCGCACACACAAATACACACTGAAGCACAAAACACGGGTACACATATACACACCAGACACTAAGTGCGAGATACGAGCATACAAACGCTTAGGGACACACACACACACACACACACACAGAGTCAAGCTGATTGTCCCAAGTTTATTAGCACAGAGACAACTTGGGGATTGTGTACGAGGGCCACCACATTTTCAGATCCCCTAGACGAGGATGAAGCCCCTGTGAACACAGACACTGGGACTGACCCACTGGCCACTGCCAAGAACACAAAGCCCCGCCCCCACATGCTGAGGCACCTGGGTCCATAGGTGCTCCTGTGGGCCGTGGGACCTGGGTGTCCTCACTTGGCTTCCTTTGACCAAGGGGAGAGACAAGCTTGTGACCACTGCAGAGACTCTGTGTGGACGTGTGCACAGCAGTTGGTGTGAATAAATGGTCAACGGTTCTCATTTCAACCAAAGTTCACTAACCTCCAGCTCTTTGCCAGGGAGTGGAGATGAATACATTCATTAATTGTTCAAGAAGTCCTTACTGGCTGGGCACAGTGGCTCACGCCTGTAATCCCAGCACCTTTGGAGGCCGAGGTGGGAGGATTGCTTGAGCCCAGGAGTTCAAGACCAGCCTGCGCAACACAGGGAGACTCTGTCTCTACAAAAAATACAAAAATTAGCCAGGCGTGGTGGTCGCACCTGTAGTCCTAGCTACTTGGGAGGCTGAAGCAGGAGGATCCCTTGAGTCCAGGAGTTCAAGCCTGCAGTGAGCCATGATGGTGACACTGAACTCCAGCCTGGGCAATAGAGCAAGATCCTATCTCCAAAAATAAATAAATGAATTTTTTAAAATATTAAAAAAGAAATCCTCATTTGGCTAAGAACCAGGCATCTTTCTCCCCACTCAGTGATTGTCTTAGGCTGGGTTCCCCAGAAGCAGAGCCTGAGTGAGGATGTGAATGAGGTGGTTTCTGGGACAGGAAGCTCCTGAAGGGGCACGGGACAGTGAAAACAGGGAAGGGAAGGAAGGCGATGCAGTGAATGTCAGGGAGCAACTCACCCTGTGGGCACCTGGGGTGCAGTCATGCTGGGGACCCTGGGAGAGTGTGCAGAACAAGTCCCAGTATTGTCCTACTCCTGCCTGAGGACAGAGGAGCTGAGGCATTATCTTAAGTTCCCACTGGACATTAGTTGAGGGTTGCTCCCAGGGGCATGAGCTCCCTGGCACTTCTAGCCTAACCGTTGTGCAGACCAAGCCTGCTTCCTAGCCAGCAGCCCTCCGTCAGAGTCAGGGCTTCTTCAGTAAGTACCTAAAGAGTGAGTGTAGGGAAAGTGAGTGCAGGGGAGGTGAGTGCAGGGAAAGTGAGTGCAGGGAAGGTGAGTGCAGGGGAGGTGAGTGCAGGGGAGGTGAGTGCAGGGGAGGTAAGTGCAGGGGAGGTGAGCGTAGGGGAGGTGAATGCAGGGGAGGTGAGTGCCACCATGTCTGGCTAATTTTTGTATTTTTTGTAGAGACAGAGTCTCCCTGTGTTGCGCAGGCTGGTCTTGAACTCCTGGGCTCAAGCAATCCTCCCACCTCGGCCTCCAAAAGTGCTGGGATTACAGGCGTGAGCCACTGTGCCCAGCCAATAAGGACTTCTTGAACAATTAATGAATGTATTCATCTCCACTCCCTGGCAAAGAGCTGGAGGTTAGTGAACTTTGGTTGAAATGAGAACCGTTGACCATTTATTCACACCAACTGCTGTGCACACGTCCACACAGAGTCTCTGCAGTGGTCACAAGCTTGTCTCTCCCCTTGGTCAAAGGAAGCCAAGTGAGGACACCCAGGTCCCACGGCCCACAGGAGCACCTATGGACCCAGGTGCCTCAGCATGTGGGGGCGGGGCTTTGTGTTCTTGGCAGTGGCCAGTGGGTCAGTCGCAGTGTCTGTGTTCACAGGGGCTTCATCCTCGTCTAGGGGATCTGAAAATGTGGTGGCCCTCGTACACAATCCCCAAGTTGTCTCTGTGCTAATAAACTTGGGACAATCAGCTTGACTCTGTGTGTGTGTGTGTGTGTGTGTGTGTGTGTGTGTGTGTGTGTCCCTAAGCGTTTACCCTCACATGTTTGGTAAGTTAGGTGTATTAAATGCATTTTCAACTTACAGTATTTTCCATTTCTTGTTTTTCTTTTTTTTTTTTTTAGATGGAGTCTCACTCTGTCACCCAGGCTATAGTGTGGTGGAGCCATCTCTGCTCACTGCAACCTCTGCCTCCCAGGCTCAAGCAATTCTCCTGCCTCAGCCTCCCGAGTAGCTGGGATTACAGGTGTGTGCCACCACGCCAGGCTAATTTTTGTATTTTTAGTAGAGACAGGGTTTCACAATTTTGGCCAGGCTGGTCTCAAACTCCTGACCTTGTGATCCCCCAGCCTTGGCCTCCCAAAGTGCTGGGATTACAGGCGTGAGCCACTGCGCCTGGCCAATATTTTCAATTTCTGATGCCGCATTGTAAGTTAAAGAACATTTGTATTTGTTAGATCCTTTCTGTGATAGGCTGAATGACGCCCCCCTACAAATGTTCATGTCTTAATCCCCAGAAGCTGTAAATATCTCACTCTACATTGCAGAGGGGTTTTCAGAGTTGTGATTAAATCAAGGGTCTTGAGATACAGAGATTATCCTGGATTATCTGAGTGGATTCAGTATGATCACAAGCATCCTTATAAGAGAAAGGCAGGAGGGTCAGAGTTGGAGAAGAAGATAGAATAACAGAAGCAGCAGAAGTTGAAGCGAGGAAGGGACCATGGAACCATGACTACAGGCAGCCACTAGAAGCTGGAAAAGGCAAGACAATGGGTTCTCCCTTAGAGCCTTCAGAAGGAATGCTGCCCTGCCAACCCCTTGCAGACTTCTTAAGCCACTACATTCTTGGTAATTTGTCTTGTTAGAGCAGTAATAGGATGTGCCTTCCAATTCCCAAACCACTGGATTCTACATAGCTCTTAACTTTTAAACCAGACAGACCTAGGTTCAAATCCAAGCTTTGCCACCTATCAGCTGTGTGGTCTTTGAATCACTCAACCTCTTTTGGTCTTAGTTTCTTCATGTCCGTATGGCAATAATGATATCTACCTAGGGATCCACAATTCTAGCAATATTATAGACTTGATGACCTAAAATTCATCTTGTTACAAAATACCCAGAAATGCTTAATGTAACCTGGCAGTCTTCCAAATGTATAAACTGACAGGCACAATGGCTCATGCCTGTAATTCTAGCACTTTGAGAGGCCTAGATGGGAGGAATGCTTGAGGCCAGGAGTTCAAGACCAGCCTGGGCAACATGACAGGATTCCATATCTACAAAAAATAAAAATAAAAAAATTAGCCAGGTGTGGTGGCTTACAGTTATAGTCCTAGACACTCAGGTGGCTGAGACAGGAGGATTAGGATCACTTGAGCCTAGGAGTTCAAGGCTGCAGTGAGCTACAGTCATCCCACTGCATTCCAGCTTGGGTGACAGAGTGAGACCCTATCTCAACAACAACAAAAAATGTATAAACAAATTTCCAAGAAAGTAAGAGAAACCCATAGGAGCTAAAAATAAAAAAGGAAAACCAGAAACAGGACCACAAAGCACAAGAGCTGTCCCTATGTTCCCCATCCTACCCCAGCCCCTGCCTAAGGACCCTGGCCCCAGGTGAGGGGAGGGCAATTGGAACTGAGACCCCATAAATCCATAACCCCTAAAAGGCTACAACCTTAGCAAAACTGGGAAAATAAGGAAAACATCCTCTGGCTGCCACAGGTTGATGGCATGGAAACGTGCTGAGGTCTCTTTCTTTTTCCATAATATTGAGGAAGCTTGTTTGTCTAGACCAGAGGTTCTCAACCAGGGGCAATTTTGCCCCACAGGGGACATTCGGCAATGTCCCTTAGGGGGCAGAGAGACACCTGATTGTCACAACTTAGGGGAAGGGTACTGCTGGCATCTAATGGGTAGAGGCCAAAGATGCTGCTAAACATCCTGCCATGTAGGGGGCAGCTCCTCACAACAAAGAGATGCCCAGCCCAGGATGTCAATAATGCACAAAATGTCATTGAGAAATCCTGATCCAGGCCTGGGCTCTGTGCAGGAAAATGTCTTTGGGAATTCCTAACCATGACCCCTGTCTCCCTCCCATAGGTTTGGAATTCAAATTTACTCTACTCCCGTGGTTTTGGAGCTCTAATCCAATCAACTAACAACAACAACAACAGCAAAAGGAAGTCTAGGGCCAGTTATACCTAAGGGCAAATACAATACTCCCTCTAGAGGAACACATTTTCTATCCAATTGATGTAGGATTTCCACATGCAAAGCCTTACTGAAGATGAACTCACAATCTAAAATTACAAAACCCACAAGGAAATAATTCACCATGAGTGAAAGTTGGCAGATATAAGAGGCAGTAAGATCAGATCCACAAGAAGTTCACATTTAAAAAGGCTATAGATACAACTGTGAATATACTAAAATCCGCTAAATTGTACTCTTTAAAAGAATGAATTTTATGGCATAGGGATTATATCTCAATAAAGTGTTTATTAAATAAAAAGGCCATAAGATGAAGACTGTAATATACAAATGTTTAAAATTATTAAAGTCACATTATCTTTTTTTTTTTTTGAGACGGAGTCTTGCTCTGTCCTCTGTTGCCCAGGCTGGAGTGCAGCAATGCTATCTTGGCTCACTGCAATCTCTCCCTCTTGGGTTCAAGCAATTCTCCTGCCTCAGCCTCCTGAATAGCTGGGATTACAGGCACGCACTACCACGCCCAGCTAATTTTTGTATTTTTAGTAAAGACGGGGTCTTGCCATGTTGGCCAGGATGGTCTCGATCTCCTGACCTTGTGATCTGCCCACCTCGACCTCCTGAAGTGCTGGGATTACAGGCGTGAGCCACCGCACCCGGCCTAAAGTCATGTTATCTTCCTTGTGAGCTTATTCAATAGTTAGAGAAAACTTATAACTGGCATAAAATAAGCACCCAATAAGTAGTATTTATTATTATCCCAGTGATTATTTATTTATCCTCATTTCCACTTTTCCTAAGCCTCCTATCATCTATCAAAATGTACCTGTGGGCCGGGTGCAGTGGCTCATGCCTGTAATCCCAGTGCTTTGGGAGGCCAAGGTGAGTGGATCACTTGAGGTCAGGAGTTCAAGACCAGCCTGGCCAACATGGAGAAACCACTTCTCCACTAAAAATAAAAAAATTAGCCGGGCATGGTGGTGGGCGCCTGTAATCCCAGCTACTAGGGAGGCGGAGACACAAGATTTGCATGAACCTGGGAGGTGGAGGTTGCAATGAGTTGAGATCACACCACTGCACTCCACCCTGGGCAACAGAGCAAGACTTGGTCTCCAAAAAACAAACAAACAAACAAAAATGTACTTGTGCCATGTCCCATTCTGTTAGAGCCTTAATGTCATATTCCCTCAATTCTAAGAGGCCACAAATTGTAACACACACCATCAATCTAATGAAAGTTTAAAAGAAATAAATGGGCCTGGCGCAGTGGCTCACGCCTGTAATCCCAGCACTTTGGGAGGTCAAGACCAGTGGATCACCTGAGGTCAGGAGTTCAAGACCAGCCTGGCCAACATGATGAAACCCCGTTTCTACTAAAAATACAAAAATTAGCCAGGCGTGGTGGCGGGCATCTAAAATCCCAGCTCCTCGGGAGGCTGAGGCAGGAGAACCACCTGAACCCAGGAGGCGGAGGTTGCAGTGAGCCAAGATCTCACCATCGCACTCCAGCCTGGGGGAGAAGAGCGAGACTTCATCTCCAAAAAAAAAAAAAAAAAAAAAAAAAAAAAAAAAAAAAATGCAATTTATCAAATGTGTTTATTGTATTATAAGTTGCACTCTGAATTTGCAAATATTAAAATAAGAAAAGTATACTTAGATTTATAGTTCATGATAAAATAATTGCGGTAATGTAATAATGAATGCTACTAAGTAGCCGACTGAATGCTTTATGTATGACTCAATCAAGCTTGTCCAACCTGTGGCCTGCGGGCCACATGTGGCCCAGCAAGGCTTTGAATGCAACCCAACATGAATTTAAACTTTCTTAAACCATTATGAGATTTTTTGTGTGTGTGATATTTTTCTTTTCTTTTTTTTTTAGTTCATCAGCTATCCTTAGTGTTAATGTATTTTATGTGTGGCCCAAGACAATTCTTCTTTTTCCAGTGTGGCCCAGGAAGGCCAAAAGATTGGACACCCCTGCTCTAATTCCTGGATCATGCAAGTTTGCAGCCTCTGTCCAGGCTGGCAGATGGAGACTGGCAATGTTACAGGCTAGAGAATGAGATTAGCATCACAGCCAAGTCTGTTTGTCCCCAAGGCAGTGGGGCTACACAAATCTGAAGTGGGAAGTAAGGAACAACACACAGGCTCAACATGGGGGAACTGTTCTCTTATCATGTAAGCTTATAAGCATTATCTGGCTCAGTGGTTGCTTTTTTTTTTTTTTTTGAGACAGATGCCATTCTTGCTCTGTCACCCAAGCTGAAATGCAACAGCACAATCATGGTTCACGGCAGCCTCGACCTCCCATACTCAAGCAATTCTCCCACCTCAGCTTCCTAAATAGCTATAGCAGTGCGCCACCACACCTGGCTAATTTTTTTATTTTTGTAGAAATGGGGTCTCACTATGTTGCCCAGGCTGGTCACAAACACCTGGCCTCCAGTGATTCTCCCACCTCGGTTTCCCAAAGTGCTGGGATTACAGATTTGAGCCACTGCTCCCAGCCTGCATCTTCTTATTAAGGACCGAATACTACTCAGTGTTTGGTGTCATCAGCCTATGTGGGGATTCTTCTCCTTCCTGGGCCTCAATTTCCCTAGCTAGACAATGGAAGTTAAAATAAAAACATGAATCTGTTTTTCTATGGGCCACAGAAGTAAGGGCTTATTTGGCTCATTGTTTGGGAGGATGAAGTTTTCTTTCTTTTTCACGCCCTTGGTCCCTGCCCATGAGTGTGAAGCAGATTCATTAATAACAAATCCCAAGCAAGGCCCTCCCCTGTGTGGGGCACAGCCAAGATCCTCATTATGCCAATTAATGGGAGTAGGAGTCAAACACTTCTGTCCACTGCATCCTGGGCTGCAGAGTTTCAATGCCTGAGTCCGGTGAGAAAGAACACACTCACAGCCAACATGTTCTGTGAAGTGGGTTTATTGCTTACAGATAGGCAGCAGGAGACAGAAGCAGCCTAGGATCCATTGTGAGCCAGCTTCCCAAGGCTCAAGAGAGCTGGCTGGGGTGGATGGAGTCTTTTTTTTTTTCCTTTTAGAGACCGGGTCTCGTTTGTTGCCCAGGCTGGTGTGCAGTGGCTTTATCATAGCTCACTGCAGCCTTGAACTCCTGGGCTCAAGCAGTCCTCCCACCTCAGCCTCCCCATCCCCATCTCTTCCAGTATTTGGGACTGCAGGCATGCATCACCACACAAGGCTTGCAGGGGATGGAGTCTTTACTCCCTGGGTTATATACCTTGGGGTCATGTCACCCACTGAACTAAAGCATTGAGAACATCCTGCTTCCACAGGAGAGAGAGGTTCAAAGCCTGTGTGGGGCAGTCCCTCTGTGTCTCAGGATGTTGCATTCCTAACACATTGTAGTTATTCTTTTTTTTTTTTTTTTTTGAAACAGAGTCTCACTCTGTTGCCCAGGCTGGCGTGCAGTGGCGCGATTTCAGCTCACTGCAACTTCTGCCTCCTGGGTTCGAGCAATTCTCCTGCCTCAGCCTCCTGAGTAGCTGGGATTACAGGAGCCCACAACTACACCCAGCTAATTTTTTGTATTTTTAGTAGAGATGGGGTTTCACCATGTTGGCCAGGCTGGTCTCGAACTCCTGACCTCATGATTCACCCACCCCAGCCTTCCAAAGCACTGGGATTACAGGCGTGAGCCACTGCGCCCGGCCATAGTTATTCTTGAGAACTACAAGCAAGAAACTGTGGGGAATGGGGGGAGAACTGGGTCAGTCCAAGGCCACCTGGTTCTGCAATGAGAAGAGATCAAAGTCTTCGAGAGAGAACATAGTAGCTAAGGACAGAGCCCCGTCTGAAGAATTCAAAGATCTGCTATCAGCCAGGACCATAGACCCAGACCTGTAGGGAGGGCAGAGGGAGAAAAAGGAAAGGGGAAGGGAGACCAAAGGAGAAGGATTTGCAGGGGCCCACCCATGGCTGATTCAGTCTACACTGAAAAACCATCTAAAGCTGGTTATTTTAGCAATAGGATTTAATGATGTGTGGCATAAAGCACTATCTCAGAGGTAAGTGAAATTCAACCTCCTTCACCCACGAAGCAGGAAAGCTTGGGCCGTCAGGACAAGGGGTCTTATATACATGCCAGTGTTCCTCAAACTTCAGCATCACATGAATCACCTGGGAATGTGATTCAGCAGATCTAGGGTGTCACCCGAGATTCTGCATTTCTAACAAGCTCTCAAGGGATGTCAATGCTGCTGGTCTAGGGACCACACTTGAGTACCAATGGCATAGGAGGTCCTGACTAATATTTATTTATTCAATAAATCAATCAGCCATTCAACAAATATTTATTGAGCACTTACTATGTACTAGACAATGCTCTGGGTGCTAGAGATACTGAATAGAAAAAGCAAGCAGAACATAAACCATGTATGCCAAATGAATGAATATAAGATGGAATTAATTCATTAGTGGAGGATGCTTGTCGTTTAGTACAACATAGCAATGAAAATGCAACAAAACACAGTTTCTCCAGTGGCAATTTATCTTGCAAACCCAAACCCCAGTATCTGTTCAGGGAAGAAGAGAGCAGAAAGGAGAAGGAGAGAGGGCTTCCTGGGCAGCTCATCAGCTGTGTGACCTTGGACATGTTCCTTAACCTCTCTGGCCTTCAGGTTCTTCATCTATTAAAGGAGGAGGTTATTCCAACTGTAAGTTATCATCCTGAGGATTACATCAGGAAATGTTCAAAAACCACCTGGTCCAAATGCCTGGCACATAGTAGGCATTTGATATATGGCAGCTGCCATGATTTTATTATTACTTACCAAAAAGTGAACGCACAGCGGCTTAGGCCTGTGTCTCCCCGCATTCACCCCAACCTGGAGTTCTCCATCCCCCCATCTCCCCACCCCCCGCCTCACGGAGCCACAAGGCTACCCTGATGAGCTGTGCAGCTTACTGTGAAATGCGCTGCATTTTCTCCCCAGCTGCCTCCTGATTGCAGTATTTACTTTTAATCTCCTGTGCCTCAATGCCCGATAAAAACTTTGTCACATTAGATGGTGACAGATGGGGGAGAGAAGGGGGGCATCCCTGCAAGGGAGCGTCCAGGCCACTCAACAATCCTTCACCACGCCAATTACGTCCTTCAGTGCTCCCTGGCGTGGGCACCCATGTCAGCACAGAGGGAAATGGAAAAGCATAAATAAAGACAAAACCAGGCTCAGCGAGGCTTTAATCTGCAGAATAACATTTCTCATTTGTGTGAAATATCACTGGATTCTCTCCCTATGCTCCGGGGGCACACATGAGCGCACACGCACGCCCGGGACGGAGACTGGGGTTCCCAGCCCCGGCGGGGGAAATTAACTGTGTGCAGCGTGCCTCGGAGCTGGGCTAACCTATCCCTTGTCCCTAACTGGGCTGTCAGGGACGGTTTCTTCTTCATGTTTGCAAGGTATTAAAGGGGAAGCAGGAGAAGGGAACTGACAAAAGGAGGAATGCAAATGGTTAAGAAATTATCAGGTGCACGCAAGTCAGAGGGGAGGTGGGATGCTCAGAAGTTGGTTCTGTTTTCTCAATAATAGAATAATGATTTCATAATAATGTGTGACCGGTGCTTAACACTTCAAATCTTTTTCTTTCACAGGCTTTACCTTCCTGATCCTCAACAACTCTACCCTGACATGTGTGCAGGGATTTTCCGTGTTCAAAACATGTCTATTACTGCTCTCTATGGAGGCGGAGTATGTTAGTTTCCTAGGGCTGTCGTTACGAAATGTCACAAACCGAGTGACTTAAAACAACAGAAATCTGTTCTCTCATAGTTCTGGAGGCCAAAATTCTGAATCAAGGTGAGGCAGCTGCGGCCACACTCCCTCCAGAAGCTCTAGGGGAGGATCCTTCCTTGCCTCTCCCGGCTTCCGGCAGCCCCAGGTAGACCTGGGTTTGTGGCAGCCTAACTCCAATTTCTGCTTCTCTCGTTGCATCTGTACCCAAATTTTCTTCTTCTTACAAGGACACAGGTCAGATTGGATTTAGGACCCACCCTAATGACCTCATCTTTTTTTTTTTTTTTTTTTTTTTTTTTTTTGAGATGGAGTCTGGCTCTGTCACCCAGGCTGAAGTACAGTGGCTGGATCATGGCTCACCGTAACCTTTGCCTCCCAGGTTCAAGTGATTCTCCTGCCTCAGTCTCCTGAGTAGCTGGAGTACAGGCATGTGCCATCACACCCAGCTAATTTTTGTATTTTTAGTAGAGATGGGATTTCACCATGTTGGCCAGGCTGGTCTCGAACTCCTGACCTCGAGTGGTCTCCCTGCTTCGGCCTCCCAAAGTGCTGAGATTGCAGGTGTGAGCCACCACCCCCGGCCCTAATGACCTCGTCTTAACTTTATTACATCTGCAAGGTCCCTAATTTTCAAATCAGTTCTCATTCACAGGGACCAGGAATTGAGACTTAAACATATCTTTTTAGGGGATGCAATTCAACCCATAACATAGAGGCACAGTGATTTAAAGTGATTTGAAAAAAGACAAGCTTGTGTTTGAGCCCCAGCCCTAGGGACAGCTGCTTTGTCTTCTGGAGTAGAGGGGGAGAGTCCTCCAGACTACACTCAACACCCCCTGACGCCATGGAGGTGGAGCTGCAGTTGGGAGGTTTTGCAGAGGAGCTTGTGTGCATGCGCAGGAGCCCACGCCAGCCTGCCCATCTCTGCACACATCTGTGTGATATCAGAGAGAAGAGCAGAGGAGAGGAGCTTGGGAAAAGGAGTCCACAAAGTCGAACGGCAGAGGCTTATAACCTGAGAGACCCAGTGATGGGAGCAGCAGAGGCAGGAGCTGAGAGCTCTTCTAGAATAGTTATAAGTCCTCTGAATGGGAAATGACCCACCCTACCAGCACCCGGTAAACTGTAGTAGCCATGGCTGACACTTGAAGTGGAATTGGATGACAGCCAGAAGAGGAAATCAAAAACAAAATTCTAGCCATTCCTGGCTACAGACGTCACCAAAACCCTAGCAGAATGGAATTGGCAGTTAGCCCCTGACCTTCCTAGGTTCATAGGAAACCGTGCTGGATGGAGACTGGCTCAGGGAAAAGGACAGGTGGCCACTGAGGCTTGGCCACTGAAAGGAGCAGGGAACAGGGAAGCAGAGATAGCAATAGCCTGGTGGAGGAAGCCCAAATGAGAAACCACCAGGAAGTGAAATTCTAGCAATGCCTTAGACCAGGGGAGAAGTGGAGGGGAAGGTCATGGGAGGGTACAGTGCTGGAATGACCCCCAAACTGCAAAATGAGTCCTTGAGAATGAAATAGCCCTCACAGCTGGAGGATGGGATGCCAAATAGCATTAAGGCTGCCAGATAGCCCTGCGACAAGATTAATATATCATGCAATATAAAAAAAACTGAAGTGAAATGCACATATCATAAAACTAACCATTTGAAAGTATACAAAATTCAATGGCACTTAGTATATTCACGATGTTGTGCCACCATCATCTCTATCTAGTTTCAAGTATTTTTATCACCTTCAAGGGACACCCCGTGATCATTAAGCATTCACTGTCATTACTCCCTCCCCGCCTTCCCCTGGCAACCACTAATCTGCTGTCTCTATGGATTTACCTATTCTAGATATTTCATATAAATGGAATCATGCAACAGGTGACCTTTTGTGTCTGGCTTCTGCCACCCAGCATTTTGAGGTTCATCCACACTGTAGCTCATATCAGAACTTCATTCCTTTTTATGGCTGCATAATATTCCATGGTGTGGATATACCACATTTTGTTCATCCACTTATCCATGGGAATTTCATGGGCATTTGGATTGTTTCTGCTTTCTTGGTTATCATGCAAGCAATGCCATTTTGATGGGAAGTTTATTAAAGTAGCTCCTTATTCTAGCCAAGTGGGAGTTGAAAGAACTGTTCTCTTCCCATTTTCCCTCTCCCCCTCTCTATCTGCTCTCATTCAATCGTACATCCAACATATATTTCTAAGAGCCAATTGTGTGCCAAGCCCTGGCTCTGTTAGAGAGGTGGCTGCAGGGGCCTGGACAGCACCGCTAATTCCAACTACACATCCCAGGAGATCATAGGGCAGTCCCAAACTATAGACTATAATCAAGCCTCTGGAGGCAGCTCCCCATTTGTCCTTCAGACCAGAAGAGAGAATGGCTGGTATCTGGATTGGGCCTCAGAGGGCACAGAACCCTGGGGAACTTCCAAAGGCCTGGTTGCTAACACTCAGGCCTCTCCAGTGAGGATAGAGTGCCTGTGCCCCAAGAGACTCCCCAGAGCCCCTTGGCCCTGAGCATTCATGGGAACAAGGCTTTCACTTATTCTGAGTCTGGAAGGGGGTGAGGCAATGGAGGGAACCTCAGATTAGGCTTCTCTTTGTTCTCCGTAATCTGGGTGTCCACATGGGCTAAGAGAGAGAGAGAAAGAGAGAACGAGAGAGAGAGAGAGAGAGAGCGAGCACATGAGTGGGCCTGACTGTTTAGCAGGTTCACCAGACCCCAAGTGAAAGGGTGAACTGAAAAAAGTTGAGGTGATTAATTCACTATAGTTTTATGTTTAACAAACCTATCCATGGTTTATTCTCATATGGGTTTAGGTCTTCTCCAATAATCCTCTTCTTGCCCTGATAAAGTCCTGAGTTAAAATCCACCTTCAGGGTTGGTATTTGAGTCTACATTTGTGGAGTTCAGATTAAGATTCCAGATAAACAACCCCCATGCAATGTTTCTCAAAATGCGACCCGCAGGATGTGCAAAACAAGAAACTGGAGTACTTGTACTTATTAAAAGTCAGATTCCTGGGCCTCTCATTAGAACAGGGCCCCTTTCTCGTCTTTTTTTTTTTCTTCCTTTTTGTGGAGAACGGGGTCTCTCTATATTGCCCAGGCAGGTCTAGAACTCCTGGGCTCAAGCTATCCTCCCGCCTCTGCCTCCCTGAGAGCTGGGATTACAGGCGTGAGCCACTGCACCCGGCCAGGCCCTTTTCTCAATGGTCCTCTCCCCACCAAAGTCCAAGAACTGAGTCTCATCAGTTCCAGTTTCCGGGATTGAGTTGTGTGCCACCCCTGAATCCATCACTGTGGCCAGAGGCGGGACAGGGGTGCAATGCTTTGTCAGCCAAGCCAAATGAAGAGCTAAGGAGGGCATTTCCCAAGGAGAATCTGGGTGTTGCTAGCGGAGAAAGGGGAGAGTAGACGCTACAGCTGGGGACAAAAATAACAGAGGTCAGCTCCAGTTCATGACACTGTCACAGGGGAGCTGCAGGAGCTGCATTTTTTCATTTGTCCATCAGCAAATGTTTATGGTGCTTTCTTCATGCCAGGCTCTGGGGAGTTCTTCATATATGTGAAGAGCCATCATGGGAAACTTCAATGCACTTGTGTATGTACGTGAGTGTGTAAGTCTGTGCGTCCCCAAGGAAGAACTAGAACAAATGATTCAAAGTTATGGGAGATGAATTTTGAACCCACAAGGGGAGTCTTTTCCAACAATGATATCCGACCAATATCGGATAGGCTGTGTCCTGAGCAGTGAGCTCCTCATACCAGAAGTCCTCAAGCAGAGGCTGGAAAATGGCCATAAATCAGGCTTACTGCAGAGGGGTTTCTGTATCAGGTAAAAGGGGCTGGAATAGACGAGGGGCCGACAATCGTACTCAACAACTGCTGTAACAAGTGACCATGAACTCAGTGGCTTCCAATGGCACAGGTTATTACCTTATAGTTCTGTAAATTAGAAATGCATCATCAGACCCAGCATGGTGGCTCACACCTGTAATCCCAGCACTTTGGGAGGCCGAGGCGGATATATCACTTGAGGCCAGAAGTTTGAGACCAATATGGTAAAACCCCGTCTCTACTGAAAATACAAAAATTAGCCGGACATGGTGGCGCACGCCTGTGATCCCAGCTACTCAGAAGGCTGAGGCACGAGAATCACTTGAACCCAGGAGGCAGAGGTTGCAGTGAGCCAAGATCATGCCACTGCACTCCAGCCTGGGCAACAGAGCGAGACTCCATCTCAAAAAAAAAAAAAAAAAAGGAAAAAGAAATGCAACATCAGGTTCACAGGACTAAAATCAAGGTGTGGCAGGGCTGTGGTCCTTTGTGGAAGCTCGCAGGGAGAATCCATTTTCTTTCCTTTTCCAGCTTATAGGGGCCACCCCGTTTTGTGGCGTGTGGATCTTTTCTCCACCTTCGAAGCCAGCAGTGGTGGGTCTAGTTCTTCTCATATCATATCATTCTGACCTCTTCTGCCTCCCTCTTTCGCATTCATGATTATATTAGGCCCACCCAGATGACCCAAGACAATCTTCCTATTTGAAGGTCGGCTGACTGACATTCTTAATTCCATCTGCAACCTTAATTCCCTTTTTTCATATAACATAACATATTCCCAGGTTCAGGGGATTAGGACATGAACATCTTCAGGCACCCTTAGCCTGCCTACCACAGGACCTCAATATCCCTTGCCAGCCAGAGATTCAGCGGTCCTGTGATTGATTGGATCACTGGGTCTTTTCAAGTAGGGCAGAGACTCGGTCGGGCACAATTGGGCACAAGAGTAACACTTGTCAGATGCCCCCAACAGCACAACATGTGTGACTGTTTGCTTCCAAACCAGAAGGCAGGTCACACAGTAATTACCTCTTTGTCTATTAGCAGCAATTACACTCAAGTCAATAGGAGGTCTAGAATTACTGTGGACTCAACCTCTATCTCAGGAAATTCTATTAAGTGTCTGTGTAACTAAGAAGTCATTACAGAGCACTTGAAATTATAGTGTCACCTGCCTTAGAAAAATCCCTGCCTCTCCCAGAGAGGAGAGAATGGGTTGGAGCAGCAGGTAGATGGTTAATTCTCACAGCAGGTCCTTAAATTCTCACAGCAGGTCAAGGGCCCCATGAAAGTTGGAGCACTCTGAAACTTGGCAGGACCCAAAAGTGGGTGCTAAGCGATAATAATAGTGACTATTTATTGCTGCTTCCTGGGTGACAGGCATGGAACTGGGGCTTTACACACTCCAGAGCCAAGTTCCTGAGTGATGCTCACGCCTTCAGGCCTTCCCAGGCTAAGAGGAGGCAGTGGACCCTCATGCTGTATTCCTGTTTCAAGGACAGAGGGGCTGAAGGCTCCTGGGATGGGGCTAAGAGATCCAAGCAGAGGCTAGAAAAGGAGCTTAGGTCTCAACCTGCCAGAACCATCCCAAGCCAGCCTCACGTCCTTGGCAAAGGCATGGGATGAGAAACAACACTGAGCAAGGAAACTGCAAGAAAGAAGCTTGGTTTTCTAAAGCATGAAGTCTGTAACAGGAAGATGAGGCTGGCTGGGTGGGCTGAAGCCTGGCCTATGTTCCTTGTTGAACAGGGTACTGTTGAAGAGGTGGATTGTAACATGGTTGGAGCTTTTAGACAGATCCTTCTGTTGACTGTGCAGACCAGGGGTCCCCAAACTTTTTCTGTAAAGGGCTAGGTAACACATATTTTAGGCTTTGCCTGCCATATGCTCTCTGTTACACTACTGAACTCTCCTGTTGCAGCACCCCTAGGCAATATGTAGCCAAATGAGTATGGCTGTGTTCCAATAAAACTTTATTTACAAAAACAGACTGTGGGCCAGATTTTCCCACAGGCTGTGGTTTGCCAACCTCTGATCTAGATGATGGTTTTGAAGAGTGCATGCATTCTATGTTCCTATAACTTGGGGTTCCCGCCCACTGCTCTTTTATCCATTGGCATATTTAAATGAATATTTGAACTGGCTCAAATAACAATAACAGTGATAGCAATTAATCATATTAATATAATCTTTACATTTTACGGAGCTCTTT